>NC_000017.11:8218383-8369898 GCF_000001405.40 Homo sapiens
CCCTGATAACATCTTGATCTTGGACTTTGAGCCTCCAGAACAGTGAGAAAATAAATATCTGTTGTTTAAGCCACGCAGTCTACGGCATTTTGTTATGGTAGCCTGAGCAGACTAATACAGATTCTAAGGTCAGTGGAAAACTACAAGCGGAAGCACTCAGTTCAGATAGGACTACTAGTGGCTTAGACCCTTCAGGAACAAGGTTTGGGTCTCCCTACGAGGGAAATAACCAGGACCAGTTGAGGGGCTTGTTGAAGACAATGGGAAGACAAAATGGGTAATAGAAGAAGCTAGTTAGGCCAGGTGCGGTGGCTCATACCTTTATTCCCAGCATTTTAGGGGGCTGAGGCGGGAGGATCACCTGAGGTCAGGAGTTCGAGACCAGCCTGGCCAACATGATGAAACCCCGTCTCTACTAAAAATATAAAAAAAAGGCTGTGCACAGTGGGTCACGCCTGTAATCCCAGCACTTTGGGAGGCCGAGATGGGTGGATCACCTGCACTCTACTGCACTCCAACCTGAGTGACAGAGCGAGACTCCATCTCAAGAAAAAAAAAAAAAAAAAAGAAGCAGCAGCAGCAGCAGCAGCTAGTTATCAGCTACCACTACGTGGCCAGTTAGAGAAACAAGGACTGTAAGTGTATTTCCTTTTTTTTTTTTTTTTTGAGACGGAGCGTCAATCTGTCGCCCAGGTTGGAGTGTAATGGCATGATCTCAGCTCACTGCAACCTCCGCCTCCCAAGCTCAAGTGATTCTCCTGCCTTAGCCTCCTAAGTAGCTAGGATTACAGGCATGTGCCACCATGCCTGGTTAATTTTTTTTGTATTTTGAGTAGAGACGGGGTTTCACCATGTTGGCCAGGCTGGTCTCAAACTCCTGACCTCAGGTGATCTGCCCACCTCGGCATCCCAAAGTGCTGGGATTACGGGCGTGAGCCACCACACCTGGCTGTATTTCTTCTTTATTTTGTTACGAATATATCTGTGTGTGTGTTTCAGCTAATAAATGTACACAAAATGATAGAATTAGGAAATGATCATTTTGCATCTCCTTATGAAATAATTAATGCAGGCAAGGTTTTCTGGTTGCCCTGGCAGTGAGAATGGTGGTGGGACTGCTTGGTAGCCAGCCTCACAGCCAGCTCCGCCTTAGGTCGCCAGAGTTTCTATGCTGTTACCTTGCTCAGGTCATCAGCAGTTCTTCAAGCACCATTTCTGCAAGGACTGGTCAACTGTCTGCCTTTGTCTTGTACATAGTGATACAGTGACACAGAGACAGCTATGGCAGAAGGTGGGCAGGGGCAAGAAAGGGGAAGGAAAGCGGAGCACAGATTTTAACCTGGGCAATGTCTGCTGTGTGGATGGTGGTGAGATGGCCCAAATTCTTCCCCATCAACCAAAGCCAGTCACACTTAGAAAGGTATTGTTAGTGGAGGAGAGAGAGGTGAAGGGAATAAATTTCCCATTGGAAAAGACAAGGCATATAGGGTGGGTGGCCTGGATTTCTTTCTTTCTTTTTCTTTTTCTTTCTTTCTTTTTTTTTTTTTTTTTTTGAGAGAGAGTGTCCCTCTGTCGCCAGGCTGGAGTGTAGTGGTGCCAATCTCCGCTCACTGCAACCTCTGCCTCCGGGGTTCAAGCGATTCTCCTGCCTCAGCCTCCCAAGTAGCTGGGACTACAGGCATGCGCCACCACGCCCAGCTGATTTTTGTAGTTTTTAGTAGAGACGGGGTTTCACCAAGTTGGCCAGGATGGTCTTGATCTCTTGACTTCGTGATCTGCCCGCCTGGGCCTCCCTAAGTGCTGGGATTACAGGCGTGAGCCATCCCATCCCACCGGTTTTGTTTTTCAATATACTGGAAGCAGCCAAAATGCACGTGGTCCTGGGCTTCTAGTGACTGCTGGGAAGTCTGGAGAAAGGTAATATTTGTATTTAATATCCTTGTGTTCAGTGTTAAGTAAACATACCTAGAACAGCAGAGATTATTAAAAACATTTAAAAAGGCCGGGCACAGTGGCTCACGCCACTAAAATACAAAATTATCCGGGCGTGGTGGTGCATGCCTGTAATCCCAGCTACTCGGGACGCTGAGGCAGGAGAATCCCTTTGAACCCGTGGGCGGAGGTTGCGGTGAGCCGCGATAGTGCCATTGCATTCCAGCCTGGGCAACAAGAGAGAAACTCCGTCTCAAGGGAAAAAAAAATACAAACAAAAAATAATAATTTAAAAAATTATTTAACAATTTCCATACAACAGGGAATTTTTTTATTTTTAAATTTATTTTTACTTTTATAGACCTTAGGGATACATGCGCAGTTTTGCCACAGGGATATATCACATAATGTTGAAAGTCTGCACCCAACTTCTGAATAACGTTCATATTTGTCTCATTCCCCTCCTATCCTTCTACTGAGGAGGCTTTTTTTTTTTCCTATCCTGAAAAATGTCACCGTAGGTCTATTTGATTAGGGAAAACAATGTTTTGTTTGACCCCGACGTGATTTGAACACGCAACCTTCTGATCTGGAGTCAGACGCGCTACCGTTGCGCCACGAGGCCTGTCCAACAGCGTGACTTGATGGGTCTGTTGAGCAGCAATAACGGGCGGACTTTTGTCATGAAGCCCCACCTTTAAGATTTGTCAGCGCATTTCTCTGAGGCACCAGCTGACGAGATGTGGGCGCATGTACGTAGGAATTAAATTCATCCTCTGGATAAATAATAGAGAGGCAAGTTGCGTTTAGGCGCATTTGGCTTAAGGCCCAATTCCTTAACTGGAATCACATTGAGCTCGTTGAGCTCACTCTACAGAGAAGCCATTTTTATGTGTCTAGGCCTTTTTTTTTGTTTTCTGGAGATGATAAATCATGGTGTCGCTGCAGTTCTCGCCCCCTGGACAAATCTTAGACGTAATCCCAGCTCTGCCGGTGACTCAGCTTCCCTGGATCTTGGTTTCCTCGTCTGTAGACTGGGCATAACCCTACAGGTTCATGTGGGGTGGGTGGCGCGCGCTAGCGGTGAAGGTCACTCACAATTGCGCGCTGGGCAGACGACGGCAGCCATTACTTTTACCTCGATCGCTGTTTTCCTGGATCCGCACGGGTCCAACCCGACTCATCCCAACCAACCTGAGGTATGAAAACCAGGAAAGAGAGCTAGCACCGGAGCGTTGGTGGTATAGTGGTAAGCATAGCTGCCTTCCAAGCAGTTGACCCGGGTTCGATTCCCGGCCAACGCAAGTCGTTTTGGGTGTTTTTTCCCCCCCCCGCCTTTTCCTTTTCGTGTTTTCTGGGCCCCAGCATCGTTGAGGGTTTTCGTGAGGTTTTCCTGAGGAAACTTCCGCTCCGAAAGGACCCACTTTCCGCTACACCCGCGACCACGGCTGGACCACCGCGCTCCTGACGGATGCGCCCTGCAAGCCCCTCCAGGCGAGAGCAGCGCGTCGGAATCTCGGCCCGGGGTTGCCTACTGTTCCCGGATCGCAGTGCGAATCCACAAAAAGCAGGGAGGCGAAAGGAAACAAAAGCCCGGGCTCTGCACCCTGGACGGCTGGGGGCCAAAGCTACTTGCCCAGGTTCAAGCAGAGACTGGAAATGCGCACTTCCGTCAAGGAGGGAGCAAGCTAGGCCAAGTCTGAGCGCTAATGAGCATACTGAGCAGAGCAGATAATGGCCACTTTAGGTACACGTTTGAACTCTAAGTTGCTTGAAGTAAAATGGAAACTTAGAATGCGAGCTGGAGAGGAAGGCCAAACTCTCCTCCCCTCCTCCTTTCCCTCTTTTTTATAGCTCCATCCCAGGGACCAGGACGGATTTAATGAAAGCAAAAAGATAGAAGTTTCAAAACTGCTAGTACTCTCCCCGTCGGGGAATCGAACCCCGGTCTCCCGCGTGACAGGCGGGGATACTCACCACTATACTAACGAGGAGGGACCTGTAGAGACCTTTCTCCGAATCCTTGATCTGAGACTTTACACTCTGCGTGCTGACAGCAGGGTTCCTAGGGGTTCTGTTCTTCCAACCACTGATAAACGCTGACCAGAAACCGTAGGTGTATTTCAGGCACCAATCGTCAGATGGAGTGACCGAAAGAGACAGAGTGCCTTCAGGACTGCAGAGAACCAAGTTTTGACAGTTCCTGGGCTCTCCCGAACACTGTCATCCACAACTATAGATTGACGCGTGTCAATCAAAGCGAAACCAGGCTGTGGTGGCCGAGTTGAGACACCAGGAAGGAAGTCAGGAAGCAGAAAGGGAGGGACCTGCCCAAGTCTGGGCGTGCCTCGTCTCTTCCTGACATGCCAGGCGGGTCTGGGGATTGAGATGCTTTCTGCTACCGCGGTGCCACAAAAGAGCTTACTGTACATTGATGACTTACAGTCAAGCCTCCTGCAGCGCTGGTCAGGTAACCTATTCCTTGAAGACACTCTTGTCTCAGTAAAAGGTAAAGGAGGGCTCGTCCGGGATTTGAACCCGGGACCTCTCGCACCCGAAGCGAGAATCATACCCCTAGACCAACGAGCCGACGTGCGGACGTTGCCGCGAACCGCCTTAGAGGTCGTGCCAGGCTTGCTGTAGTGCTGGGTCCACTATGCATGGCGGAACGGTCCGGGCGCACGCTCACGGACCAGCCTCCCCCAGGCCGAGTATTTTGGAGCACTGGGCTGGGAATCTCTTGGCTCCGGGCCGCGAGCTCCGGCTCCTCCCAGGAAATAGCGTCAAGGAAGTGGGAGGGAGTGGCCTCGGCCTCGCCCCCGCGCCGCCTTGCACGACTGCCTTGAACACCCGGGTTGTTGCTTCCTTTGGTTACCGACTTGGTGCCATTCCGTAACCTGGGATCTTGACACTTCCTGCCTCCGCCTGCGGTCCTTGGACCTAGCTCTTCGTTGCAGAGCTTTGAAGAGAAGCGGTGGAATTGCTTGCTTTCGGGACGGGCAGGAGAAATCACTAGGGGAACACCAGTGCCCCGTGTCTGTCTATCCTCCTGGGCTAACGGGCAGGGCAAACCCTGGGCCAGACCCATCGATAGTCCACGGGTTCCCCAGACCGCATGGCAGTACCCAAGCGAGGGAAAGAGGGAACGATTTCTGGGGCCCAGAAGACCCACGGAAGAGGGCGTTATTGAGCTGGGTGACTGGAGGGGGACAGGCTTTCCACCCTGCAGTGGGGCGGGGCGCAAGGCCAGGCGACTAGTCTCATGGCTTCCGGACTGTAAGATCAGGTTACCCCTACCCTACAGTCTAACCTCTGCTCCCCAGTCCCCTCCTAGAATGGCCTAGAAGGGAGACCCTCCTGCCTGCCTCCTAAGACCCCCCGAAGGCTCTGAGGCACGTGGCCGCATGAATGTGGTCGAAGGCCTGTAGACCCGGTTTGGGGACTTAGCAGTGTCCCCGGGACTGCCCAGTGAGCCTCTGCGCTCTTAAACACTCACCATGCTGCTCTTACTCCGGAGCTGCCCAGAGTCCCAGCAAGATCTGGTGGGGTCGGTAGCAGACCACGTGTCCTGCCTTTCCTCAGCTCAGTGCCTGTTCTGGGGAGTCCTCCCAGCGGGGTTCTGGCCTGCATCGGCCCTGGACCAGCCTGGTGTCATCTGTGGAACCATTTTGTTCTACACCCCAGTTGTGTGATTTGTGGGGCCAGGCCGTTCCTAATGCCCAACCCATAGATACGATGACGGGGCTTTCAGTGAAGGATTCAGCTCCTATTTGTCTTTCCCAGGTTCCCCTGGACAGACAGTGGGGAAGGGCAGCAGAAGTTAGCCCAGCCTTTCCCATTAGTGTCCCAAGTCTTTGAGATGGGTAAAGAGGTTCTCAGGGCTGATCTGGCATCTCCTCCCCCATTCCTACCCTTTTCCAATTCCTGTCTCCCTCCCCTTGGGCCCCAGCTTTCTCTGCAAAATAATCCAGTCACCTCTTCCCTGGCCTCAGGCACTTAAACGCTGCAGAAGGGGAGGCCTAAATCCTTTATGACCCTTATGAAAGCTATGTCCCTCTTCACCGGGCACAGTGGCTCACACCTGTAATCCCAGCACTTTGGGAGGCTGAGGTGGGTGGATCACAAGGTCAGGAGTTCAAGACCAGCCTGACCAAAATGGTGAAACCCCGTCTCTACTAAATATACAAAAATTAGCCAGGCGTGGTGGCGGGCGCCTGTAATCCCAGCTACTCGGGAGACTGAGGCAGGAGAATTGCTTGAACCCGGGAAGCGGAGGTTGCAGTGAGTCAATATTGTGCCATTGCACTCCAGCCTGGGTGACAGAATGAGACTCCCTCCGTCTCAAAAAAAAAAAAAAAAAAAAAAAGCTATGGCCCTCTTCCTAAACATGTATACAATCCAGGGAGTTCACACATAATCCCATCCACATACCCCACACTTTATTTTTTCCTCAGAAAAGTGCGTACATAGACCCCACTTTTAATAACCAAGAACTAACAAACAGCTGATCATTCGTTTATTTTATTTCATTTTTTTGAGACGGAGTTTCACTCTTGTTGCCCAGGCTGGGATGCAGTGGCGCGATCTCGGCTGACAACACCTCCTCCCCCCTCCAAGGTTGAAGCGATTCTCTTGCCTCAGCCTCCCAAGTAGCTAGGACTGCAGGCGCCTGCCACCACGCCTGGCTAATTTTTTGCATTTTTAGTAGAGACGAGGTTTCACTATGTTACCAGGTTTCACTATGTTGGCCAGGCTGCTGGTCTGGAACTCCTGACCTCGTGATCCGCCCACCTTGGCCTCCCAAAGCGCTGGGATTACAGGCGTGAGCCACCGCGCCCGGCCATACATGGCAAGTTTCTACATGGTGTTTCAGACTTAGCTGATCACCCTCTACCCTCAGGCCAGATTAGATTCCACTTCTCCCTGTTCTTACAGTGCCGTTAGTGCTGAAAGGGGAACGTGCCTTGTTCATTTGGTTCTGCACAGGGTCCAGCCCAGTGCTTGGCACAAACGTGGTCTCGGCAGTGCTGCATCCCTGGCTTGACCTGGAGGTAGCAATTCCTTCAAGCCATTTGCTCATCTTACATTGGTTCGTGGGCCATGGAATGGTGTCGAGAGCTTTCTGCCTATCTTCCAAGGAGGTTTAGGTCCTGCCAAGAGCTCACAGATCCTATTTCTTGCCTTATCTCTGGCATTTATTTCTTCCTTAACCAGCCTAGCTTCAGTGCTCCAGAAAAGTGCCCTGCCCTTCCACACCAGGATCCCTAGCGACTCCCGAATGATGCTTTCTTGGACTCTGTTCACATGGCCTCAGCCCTTCTGCACCCTGCTGCACGAAACCTGGTGCCAGGCCAGGCCAGGCCAGCCGGATCCCTGCTTACTCCTTACCCTGACATCCCGCTGGTGGAGAGGGATGGAGGTAACTGCAAGTGAAAGACCAGTTAGAGGACCGCATCTGGAAGCTGTGCCAAATTTTAAATACTGTATATTTAAATATATATTTTTATATTATATACTATATATATAACATTATGAGCCACCAAACCCAAAGAACTATAATGAAGAGCCAAACAAAACAAAGTGGCTCAGGTTCTAGGGGACGTCCTAGGGTGGAGAAAGAGGCCTGGAAGGTGGGCAGCCCCTTCCATCGAGGGTGGGGCGGCCGCCTGACCCAGTCCACCTGCACCAGTGGGGTGTGGCATCAGTTAAGCAAAGGACCCTTAGGCCTATGCAACATTTCTGCCCCTAAGTTAGAGAACCACCTTTTAGAGTGGCGATCTCATGGGAGTGGCAGCTTGACTCTGCAGGAAATGTGGGTGCTATGAGTGCAGAACAGAAACTCTTACGCGTTCTGATATAAAAACAATACATGAAAGGATGTGGATTTAGCCGCAAAATCACGCTGTTTCAATTGAATAAAGGCACCGCTGGGATTCGAACCCAGGATCTCCTGTTTACTAGACAGGCGCTTTAACCAACTAAGCCACGGCGCCGAAGCTGCCATAAAGGTTCCTGAAATTCATCTACAAGAATATAGAGCTAGGAACCCGGACCGAGCTTTTTCAGATCTTTCTAGAACTAATTTGGTAACTCAACTGGCTCTTGCATCACTTGTCCATTCCTCGGATTTCCTTCAATGTCCAAAGACGTTAATCATAGATTTCAAACCAAAATCATAGACTCTAAATCAAATTCTCGATTCTAGAGTTCCTAGATGAGAGGTTTGGAGGGTGCCGACTGGATCATCCCATCCTGGAGAGAAATATGGTCAGTATGCTGAAGAAAAAAATATGACGTAGTCGGCAGGATTCGAACCTGCGCGGGGAGACCCCAATGGATTTCTAGTCCATCGCCTTAACCACTCGGCCACGACTACGAGGCTTAGGGCTTCGTTTTCATCCAATGCCTTTCTTACTTCCCTTGACTGACAAACATCTGCCTCCATGAAAGCGCTTCAGGGAAAAAAAGACGCGGCGGTTGCACGTGAACCTTCCTTTCACCCGGGTGCCCAGAGACTCCTCCCTCCAAGCCTTCGGGAGCGCTAGTGATTCAGGGAATAGGAAGCAGTAGGTGCAATATAATTCTGTTACCAGAAGGCAACTGGCTCCGGGTAGAAACTTCCGGATAACAGCAGAGGGTCAGAAAACAAAACACACACAAAAAAAAGCCACCCACTGGCCCGTACGGGGTTCGAACCCGCGACCTTGGCGTTATTAGCACCACGCTCTAACCAACTGAGCTAACCGGCCACTAACTTTCCGGGTCTACTTCAAATCTTAATATAGGGTATTGCTACCATAAAAGCAGCATAAATCCCAACATATGGGTTTAACCACGCTCTAAAGGTCTCCCAAACACGAACAAATCCTAACAGCCAGGAAGAAATGGCCTCCCAGTAGCTCTGAAAGATGTGCCTCAGCTCATCTTTCCACCTCTCCATCTATCAGTCCCCAGTAAAGAAATGCAGCAACACCAGCCAAAGGCATTGGTATCTCCAAAGAATTGTTCCTAGATCCCCTAATTGTACGGTTGTGATTTCGGAGCACCTTCTGGTCTCAAGGTATATCGATCAAGGATCTGCCTTAGGCCAGGCCCTTGGGAAACCTACAGGGCTAACCGTAGCCTGGGGCCCTATAGCACAGTCACCCAGAGTCCTCACCTGCCCCTGCTTGTGCCTGGCACTTGCCTCCCCCTACACCTTCTTTGTGCTTGTGAACACCTCTAGGCATTCATATTTGACTTCCTGCAGGGCCCAGCCTTACTGACTGAGACCATCATAGCTATGCTCTCTGCCTTGCCGCCAACTCCCCAATTTACTTCCTTTACAGACTGATTTTGGTACCATTTCTTCTGCTGGACGAAAAGCTCTTCTCTTCCAAATCACTTTCCACCTTTGGCCCTGGCGGCAAAGGGCTGAAATGATGATGAACGACTAGGAGTTCCTAGGAGGTGGACAACTAGGAGTCAGGAGGCCTGGGACCCCAGAGATGAGTACCAGTGAGAAATGACACCAGAGGGCTTCATTGCAGGTCAATAGGCCTGTCACCATCACCCCACAGCGAGCAAGTCTTTTGTTCCCTCAGCTCCTGCGACAAAGTCAGAACCCAGGTGCTCAGGGCCGCCTGTGAATGCAGGTGCCTTGTCCCAATCAGAGGACATATTAATAGGGCCATGATTTCCTGTTGCCACAATTTTGCCAAGGCAGGCTGGCACCAGAACACCAAAGAAGGGAAATTATAGTGGAGTAGCAGTTTGTGAATCTGGAGTCCTTGGTTCAATCACAGAACAAGTAGGGAGAGGAGCCAGGACCTAGGCCTTCAGGTTTTCAGCAAGGAAGGACTCTCAGGCCATCCTTGCAGTTCAGTTAACAGGAGGAAGCAAGGATCCCCAGAGAGCTGGAGTACTCTGACTCTCGGATAGAAAGGCAGGACAATCGGAGCCTGGGGTTCACGTGAGTCAGGAAAGGGAGCTCTCCACACTGGAATCGCTGTAGCCGAGGAGGTTCTGAGGTGGGAAGAGAGGAAAAACACACGTCTCAGGCATGTGGCTTTTAGTTCCCACCCACCATTCTCCTCCCTAACTCCAGAAATTCCCCATCAGTCCCTCATCCCTCTTCCTCCCAGGGACCCATCTATCTCTATCACCATGATCCCCCTATCATCATGATCCCCCCGTCTCCAACCTTACCTAATGGGACGATCTTCGACGGTTTCCTTTCCAGCTCAAAAGAAAGCACAATAGGACGGAGGACAGAGGGGCTAGTACAAAGTGTCCAGAGGAACATGGTCATGGGCTCGTCAACCCTGGCTGAAGACTAGAAAGAGAAGGTCAAGGTTAACTGGCTCCTAAACCCTTTGCCAAAAGCCCAGGAATTTGGGTATCCGAGTCCCTCCCTCCCAGCCACATTACACCTCAAGTTGGGCTCCAGGCCCTGCAAACTGCAAGACCACTCTGCCTGGCACTTGGACGAAATCTAGGAGGGAGGCCCACTCTCTAGGACACAGCCCTAGTGCTGCTGCCACATGGTGATTCCTACAGGTCACCACGGCTTCGGCAGTCCCATCCTCCACCAGGAGCCTATGGGGAGCAGGAGGAAATAAAAACGCCTATAGCAACCCAGGTTGCCAACACCCTGGACCCAACATGCCTCCCTCCCCGCTGTCTGCAGTCTTTGGCTCACAGATTTAGGAGCTTACCCTCATTCATTCGTTCAAAAAATATTAAGCAATTCTCATGAGCCAGGAATTATGCTAATGTAGAAACTGCAGATAGACAAAGTGGTCTCATAAGTAAATGGCACAATGGGTGCACGCCTTGTGCTCTCACCTGATGATGGCCTGGCTTATAGCTGTCTGCGTAGGGCAAGTGGAGCCCAGGCGAGTGCACTTTCCCTGGGATGAAGACAGTGGTTGGAAAAGTCCTCTTGGTCCCATCACATCCCTCTGGCACTCCATACTCAGTTCAGCCTGTTCCTTCCCTCCCTTACCTGCCGGCAGATGCTGGTACAATAAGCACACACCCAGAAGAGCTGAAGGCTGAAGACAGAGACGATATGGCAAGAGGCAGTGGCCTGGAATGGGGACTGACCACCCTGCAGAAGTTCAGCCAGGTAGATGTGGGGCAGGGGAATGCTAAATAAATACAGGGAGACAGAGACAGGGGTCAAGATAACAGAACAGGCAAAGGGGTTCTGAAAGCAGGGTGGGTCTAGAAGGACTTAGAGGGCATCAGGATGGGGACAGCAGTGGGTTCCATGCGCTCCTAGAAGCCCCATTTTAATTCCTGATCTCTGATAGTCATTGGTTATTTTTCAGGTTTGAACACCATGATGTTAGCCAAGAAATATTTGCATGTTAAGACTGAAAAGCCTTCAAAAGCCTAGAACACTAAATGATTCTGGGTACAATGATAGACACAGAGCATTTTTTATTTGGAGTAGAGAAGCTCCTCTGACTCAACACATCTTGTTGGGATTGGAGAAGACTGTAATGATGGCAAAATCTTCAGAACCAGGGACATGTGGGAGATGCAGATGTGAAGCCAGGAAGTTTAGGGGTTGGGGTCTGGGCACTGACCTGATGGTGGTCTCAGGGGGAAAACTCAGGACCTGCACATAAGTGGATGACCGGAAACAACAATAAACATTGTGAGATCTGCAAGTGGAAGAGGAATAGTGAGTGACCAGGAAGACAAGGCAAATTGGGGTAGAAGCTGGGACTCAGAGATCAAGCACCACAGAGTGGCCACTCCCCCTGAGGGACATATCCTAGCCATGGCTCTACCAAAGCTAGGGGAAGACTAGGAGGAGGACCAGCCTGCAACACCTCGTGAGGGTACTGGCTGGGCACAAATGGCAGACTGATATATGGAAACCTGTATGAAAGAGAAGGGGTCGCTGCAGCAAAGTTAAGCAGGGGTGCACATTCCAGAGAGCCACATCAGTAGCAAGAGGAGGCAGGTGACACTACACATCTTCACCTGGAAACCCTTTTCTCCAACTGGCTGAAGTGGACCCGGGCTCCTGGAAGTAGTCCTAGTGAGGGAGGCAAGTGTGGGTCTTCTATATATACATCCAGGTGAGGGGGGAATTCACATTCAGCAGTCTCAAGAGCGACTGTTAGCTTCACACACCTTCTCATGGCCCCCGTGTTCCCTATAGAAGGAAGGTGGGTGTTAGTAGGATCTGTGAAGTCCACAAAGTCCCATCACTCTATTTCATACCTTCCCCACAAAGGAAGGGTCATTACCCAGTTTCATCCAGAGAGACGCCACAAGGGGTTCACATAGTGTCCGTGACAAAATCTCAGCGGAGAAAGACACCAAGGAATCTGTGAAACTGGAAGGTCAGGGAAATACACTGAGAATGGAGGCACAAGAAAGCACAGAGTGGAGACAGTCAGATTCAAGGCAGAAAATGGAGCTAAAGTATCTGCTAGAACTTCATATATAAAGTCCTGAAAAAACCTGAGCTCTGCCACACTGCACACTAAGAGTAACAGGGCCTATGGGAAAAAGAGGGTTGTGGCAGATCATTCAAAACCCGCACAAGGTGGCTCACGCCCCTAAATCCCAGCACTTTGGGAGGCTGAGGTGGGAGGCTCACTTAAGGTCAAGAACTCAAGACCAGCCTGGCCAACATGACGAAACCCTGTCTCTACTAAAAATACAAAAAAACTAGCTGGGTGTGGTGGCGTGCACCCCTATAATCCCAGCTATTTGGGAGGCTGATGCAGGATAATCCTTCGAACCAGGGAAGTAGAGGTTTCAGTGAGCTGAGATCAGGCCATTGCACTCTGGCTTAGGCAACAGAGTGAGACTCCGTCTCAAAAAAAAACAAACAAAAACAACAATAACAAAAGAAATACCTCCTGCAGCAGAAAATGAAGTCTTCACCAAACCCAGCTAGCTTGGGAGAAGAGAGAGTGGCCAAATTAACCAGAGGGGCTTGGTGGACATTTACTTGTCACTGAGCAGGTCGGTCAGTGAGGATTCAGGCAATGACTTGTTTGCATCCAGCACATCTTGGATATCCTGGGAGCTTTCAAGCTCCAGAGTCCAGTTGTCCTGGACAGTGAGGCAGGATGCACAGCCAGCCAACTCCAGAGGACGCCGAGATATGCAGGATGAACCATCCTTTTCAAACAACATTGGTGTCTGCACGGAAATGGGAAGACGACTGCCTGTGAGTGTGTGCTAGTCCAGTGGGAGGTTCACAAAACATTCTGACCCAATTTTGTTCTTTCTGGAGCATGGAGAAGGAAGTGTGTCAACACACACAGGCTTTCTGGTGTATCTAAATCCAGCCTTCTTCCAGGAGGCCTAGAGAATGACCAGGCACTGGCATGCCCTCTTTAGACCCCAACCCCAAAAAAGCTTTCTGGGGAAAGGTATGATGAAGTAGGACACTCACAGCGGGGCCAGGAGCTATGAGTCGGTACACCTGTCCCGGGTGCAAGAACTCAAACCAGCGGACTGAAGAGCCAAAGAAAATGAGGTGAACCTGGGAGGATGGAGAGCAAAGTGCTGGGATCCTAGCCAGAGGCTCAGGGCGCAGGTCAGGTCCTGGGTCCCTGGAGTCCCAGTTTACCTTCTGATCATTGTCGTCATTTCCCTGGGGCTCGGGCAGCCCCCATCCAGTACCCTCCTTCCTCTGGGTGCCCCCAAGCCAGCTCCCCAACACATAGAAACTGAGGGCGGGCTTGGGCACCTCTGGACTTGCTCCTGGGGGGACACAAAAATTACGCTTCATGAGGGCCTCCTTGTGGCAGAGCAAGAAGAGCCGGCTCTGTCCTAGGTGGGGTCCCTCTGGGCCGGTGGGATCTGTCTGAGGTGTTGAGGGTGTTGCTGAATGAAGGCAGGGTCTGGGCACAGGCAGGATCAGGGCATCAGCCAGAAAGAACTGGACATAGACTCTGTTGGGAGAGACAAGGAATACATTTCTTAGTGATGCAGGCATTGGGTATTTTGGTCCCCAGCATCCCACTCCTTCCACCAGGCCCTTCCTTCCCCCCAGACTCAAGACAACCATGACCCCAAGGAGCCAACCTGGCCTGCTGCTTCTGGATGAAGCCTGGCATGCTCAGCTCCTTCCAGGAAGGGAAGCTGCTTCTCACGTCCCTCTCTACGATCAACTGAAACCTCTCTGCCCGCACCAGGCAGCCTAGAGGAAGAAAGTTTTCTGTTTTGACAAGAAAGGAGACCTGTGGGGTGGGTTGCAAGGCAAACCATCCTACCGGCCTCACTACCCATCCCAGGCCAGAGCTGCTGCCCTCACATGACATGAAAGCCCACACCTGACCCCCACCTTAGAGGGGTGACACCTTCTCTCCAAACTAAGAATGTAGGAGACACAGTTGTAATCCTGGAGTGCATGTTAGGAGCTACGGTGGAGAAATGCATGCTGGAAATTCTGGCTAGGGGTCCTCTTGCTCCTGTTCTCTGCCTGCCATACAAGTCTCCCAGAAGTTGTTGATTGACATGTGTCACTTCTGCATCTCTAGTAAATCCCAGCAGGCTTTTCCTCCCAGGCTCCCCTGGCTATGAGAACCACCATCCCACTACCATCTTCTTTCCACATCTGAACTCCAAACCTATCAGCCGTGGGTCACTGAGGGGTTGAGAGTGCTTGGCCAGGAGCAGGCAGGGCAGGGAACCACTTTGGTCCCGAAGTTGCAGACAACCTTTATGAGATGAAGCCACCAGAACCCCAAGTAAAACCTGCAAGAAGATGAAGGTTGAGTTATCAAATGTTTATTCAGCAAATACTGAGCATCTACTATTTGCCAGATGCTGTATTACATGGTAAAGCTACAAAATGAACAAAAAAGACACGTCTCTGGCTTCAAAAAACTTATATTCAAGTGGGGAAGACAGACATAAAAAAACACACACGCATTCACACATTTAGTAGGAGAAGAGAAAGCGCACAAATAGAGGTTACAGGTAAGAGGCCATGCGGGATCTCACAGGACACAATGAGACGTTTGATTTTACTTTATATGCACTGGGAGGCACGCAAAGAATTTAAGCTGGGGCGCAGTGGCTCACGCCTGTAATCCTAGCACTTTGGGAGGCCAAGGCAGAAGGATCACTTGAGCTCAGGAGGTGGAGATCAGCCTGGCAACATAGTGAGACCCCATCTCTAAAAATTAAAAAGTGTAAAAATTAACCCAGGCCAGGTGCAGTGGCTCATGCCTATAATCCCAGCACTTTGGGAGGCTGAGGCAGGCAGATCACTCAAGTCCAGGAATTCGAGACCAGCCTGGGAAACATGGCAAAATCCCATCTCTACAAAAACACAAAAATTAGCTGGATGTGGTGATGGATGCCTACAGTCCCAGCTACTCGGGAGGCTGAGGTGGGAGGACTGCTTGAGCCCAGGAGGCAAGGTTGCAGTGAGCCAAGATAGTGCCTCTGCACTCTAGCCTGGGTGACAGAGCAAGATTCTGTCCCAAAAAAATAAAAAAATAAAATTAGCCAGGGACGGTGGTGAACGCCCGTAGTCTCAGCTACTTGGGAGGCTGAGGTGGGAAGATCACTGGAACCTGGGAGGTCGAGACTGCAATGAGCCATGATCGCGCCAATGCACTCTAGCCTGGGCTACAGAGCAAGATCCTGTCTCGAAAAAAAGGATTTAAACAAGAGAGTTCTGTAATACAAGTTTCACTTTTTTTTAAACTTCCTTTTTTTTCCTGAGTCTTGCTCTGTTGCCCCGGCTGGAGTGCAGTGGTGTGATCTTGGCTCACTATACTCTTGATCTCTCAGGCTCAAGCAATCCTACCTCAGCCTCCTGAGTAGCTGGGACCATAGGCACATGCCACCGCACCTAATTAAGACAACTTTTTTGTAGCAACAAGGTCTCTCTACCCAGGCTGGTCTCAAACTCTTGGGCTCCAGTGATCCTCATGCCTTAGCCTCCCAAAGTGTTGGGATTACAGGCATGAGCCACTGTGCCTGGCATATCCCCATTTCTAGTTGCTGCAGAGAGAATGAATTGGAGGGCCAACAACAGATGAAGTGGTCTGCTTAGAAGGCTAGTGTAGTCAAAATGACGAAGAAAGATAGTAACCGAGACTAGAGTCGTGGCAATAAGGATGACAAAAAGGGAAATCACCTGAGCCCTGCTAGGGTCCCCCTTACCTGGGCTGGGCAGAAGGCAGAGGGCAGCAGACAGAGCCAGGACCAAGCCAGGCGGCGATTGAGTTGGCAGCTGGGCAGGTAGGAGGCCTCCGGGAGGGGCAGAAGGGCCTTAGGGTCAAAGGAGGCCCAGGCCTTACGCTGTCCTTCTTCTTTCAGGGTGGCCAGAGTGGGGAAGGAGGAGGGAGTCTGCAGCCGAGTGTACTGTCAAGGAGGGAAGAGAAATCGGGTGTGTGTCCCATGGGCCCCAGGTGTCCTCCAGTGTTCTGCCACCATCCTTCCCCCACATCCTCATACTTTCTGGAGGGGACAGTGATGTGGCTCTTCAAGGATCTCATTGTGTGCATTCCGAACAGGGCTGCCTGGCGGAGCTAGAAGATCCAGGGTAGGAGCCAGGAGTTGCAGTCCCAGGCTGGGGCTCCCAGGAGAGGAATGTTGCAGGAACTGGTGGTGTCTCAGCACATGGGGACACAGCCTTGGCCAGGAAAAGCAGCACAGTCACTTCCCCTGAAGAGCCTGCCTCTTCAAGAATCCTGCTCTCCTTGCCAAGGAAGTGTGCTACTCCCACTGCCTCCCCGCCCTGGGCCCTCAGCCTCCTCACTTGCAGGCCAGCTCCTCCAGGGCCTTGGTAGCCCACAGGTAGAGGGGAAGTCCTAACTGACGTTCCCACACCAGCTGCTCGTACAGGGAGGCCCCGTAGGCTTGACGGGATGAGTGAGCCCCAGGCTTCTGACGAGAGAAGCTTTGAAGCAGAACGGCGCCACGGAGGCAGGGGGCGAGCACTGGCCTTCTTGTCCCCCCTCCCACTGACTGGAGCAGGTGAACATCCTGGAGCTGGGGGAAAGCAGAGAAAATGAAAAAGCAGAGATGAAGACCCCAACTCAATGAACCCAGGCAGAGTTAACCGCACTTTGCCACTGCCTGGGTTCCAGGAAGACGGAAAGCAATTTCTCCCACGTGGGCTGGCCTCACTTTCCATTACAACCCACTCCCGCTGCGGTCAGCCTTCATCTCCCATGAGCTCCACTCAGTCTTGCTGTGGGCTGGGTGGCTCCTGGATGAACAGACATGGCTGAGGCTTCTCACCGGGTCGCCTGAGATCACCCCAGCCCCAGATCTGTGCTTCAGCTATCTCCTCCTCCAGCTGAAAGGCCCTTCTGTGAAGGAGATGCTCTGGCCACAACTCCTCCTCACAGTGCCCAAGACTCTACTCCTTTTTATTTAAGCTTCTGTCCAAGTTATCCTTAGCAAAAGTGCCCCCTAACACACACTTTTAATTTCTATATTTCTATATAACCACCCTGCTGCAGAAAAGGAGCCTATGAAGGTAAGAGAAGCTGCAGAGGTCTCTTTTTGTTATCAGCCCTGATCTCACATACCTGCAGACACACTCCAGGTCGCATCACCCGCCTAAGGCCACGGAACTGCTGGTAGGCAAGGCAGAGCCCCAGCTGCCCATCCAGCTCATAGAGGCCAGCGGGCTCATTCAACACGCCAGTGACTGCTCCCTGCAAACAGGCCGAGGTCCAGTTGACCACTATTTTCTTCCTCTTTGAAAACCCACATTTCTGGCCCCTCAAGCTCTAGGATCTCTCCCTGTGCTCACCGAATAGGATAGGAGTCTAGAATACCGGACAAGACTTTCTGGATCCTTCTTGTCCTCCGAGTTGCTGGGCATGGGGAGTGGCTTGGGGTCAGCCTCTAAGAGGGGTCCTTCCAGCTCCAGTTCCAGCTCCTGCACACATTCTGGTTTCAGCAGCAACAGACGGGAGGACTGACTGGTCATCCAAACATGCTGGCGCTGACCACGGATCTTGGACACTCGCAGTTCTGTCAGCACATAGGCTGTACCAGGCCGAAGGGCTCTGTGCCACACCAGCTGGGCAGGGACCTGGCTTGTGCAGAGACAGGCAATGTGACACAAGAGACCCCAACACTGCCACTCTGCCAGAGTCCTTTTCCCTCACGATTTGAACTCAGAGACCTGCCCTCTGTGAGTCTCAACTCACCTCTCCATCTTCCCTATGTCTGCCAACTAAATCTTAGCGTCTCTCCTCTCTCACAGGAGATGCCAAATATTTCCAAACCACTTCCCCAACATACAAACCATCCCTAAAACTTCCTTCAAAATACATAAATATTCCACTGAGAAAACTGTGCCCTATCCCGCCCCATAACACACAAACAACATTCATTCATGTAATCAAAGTGTATTGAGTATATATGTATCCAGTATTGTGACTGATGTCAAGGGAAGTATGACAAACTGTTCTTCTCTAACACAGTAAGGCCCTATTTCTACAAAATACATATATTTTTAAAATTTCTATAAAAAGGAAAAGAAACATTATTCAGAAACTTATATGTCATAAAACAATGGTTAGAATAAAGATCAATGATTTACAATTTCTACCTTGGGTACTATGCTCAGTACCTGGGTAAAGAGATCAATCATACCCCAAACCTCAGAATCACAAAATATACCCAGTTAATAAACTTGCACATGTACCTCATGAGTCTAAAAGTTGAAATTATAAAAATAAAATTGTACCAGTTGATGCAAAAAGAGTCAACAGTAAGTACCAAGTTTTTTTTTTTTTTTTAATGCCTGTATTCAATGTCTCAATGGTGTTAAGATGAATGATTTCTTTGGTCATCTCCACAAGTGAGCGTGGCAGTTTTTTAAAAGGTCACATACAATCTAAAAGCTGTGTGCTCAAGTGAGTTGCACAGCGGGAAAGTCTACTCCCTAACTCTATGCACAAACATTTCCCGGAATCTTCTCCCAACAGCGCTATTCCAGAAAACAGCTCTCCCCAGCTGTCCTCCTTTCCTACATGGCTCCTCCTATGATGCTATCTTTCCTACTGAAAGTTCTACCACCCTCCCCCACTTCCATGGCTGAAATGACCCCAGTCCTCACCTGCACGATGATGGACACGTGGGTGACAGCTGGGTGTGATCTACCAAGAGACAGGATGAAGTAAGCTTTCTGTTTACTTTTCACCAGAGCACTCAATCGAACTAGACTCCCAGCCAGGTTTCGCTGCACACCTCTGAGCTTGTTTCTAAGAAGGAAGAAAAAGCCCTGTAATCCCAGCTACTCAGGAGGCTGAGGGAGGAGAATCACTTGAACCTGAAAGGCAGAGGTTGCAGTAAGCTGAGATCCCGCCATTGGACTCCAGCCTGGGCAGCAGGAGTGAAACTACGTCTCAAAAAAAAAAAAAAAAAAAAAAAAAAAAAAAAAAAAAGCAGCAGCAGTCATCTTTATTTCTCTTCTTTTTCCCTATAAATGCTGTCCCTTCCACAGTAAAGAATAACCTGGTAATGATACAAAATGTCCATAGCCCAAAGCAAGCTATGCTAAAAACCTTCAAAATTCTCTTTCCCTTAGGTAAGGCACAGATCCCTTGAACAACCCTTCTCTTTACCTTCTTAATATTCAAAGCCCACCATTCCCTTGATTTGGAACATTCAGTCTATATTACTATCAATGCCCTTTTCTTTCTCTCCCTCCACTGACCCAGCATCATCCTTCAGTTTTACAGCGCCCCTGCCATGCCTAGAGGGGGAAATTACCTGAGCCTGAGCAGGCAGGAAGCACTCTCTGGGTAGAGGACAGGGATAGGCGTGACGGGGCCAGGACTGATGGTCAAAGGAAACACTGGCACAGGGGCATCCCACAGCTCCAAGTGCCCTTCCCCTGAGGAATTCCACCTGGCAGGAGGGAGGTAACTCCAACGGGGGAACAGAAAAAGATGGCCCAACCAAGAAAGGTCCAGGTCTATGAGCTAAGAAAGACCAAGAGCAAGGGTTAATCAGAACCTTAGCATCCTATCCACCCACCTCCCCGTTTGTTTCCTCAGAGACTTAATTGCCTTGATCCTTGGACACCATTCTTGTCAGGATCTGAGGCATCTGATCTCCACCTTCCACTCACCTCACAGCTCAGGACGCCAGTGTTATCTCTCACATAGAGGCTTCCGTTCCTGCACTCTTGTTCCAAGTCTGCCGATAGGTCTGTTAGTGTCCCTAAAAGTAACAGCTGCTCTCGGGGCAGGGGGTTCCCATTTGGTCCAGCCTCTTGGGCCCAGGCCTGGTATGCACTACTGCTCCACGACAGGTGGCTGCAGCATGGGAGACGCTGGTGAGTCTTGAGGTCCTGTACTGAGACGAAGCTGTAGAGTGAAGGGAACAGAGGTCCTGCAAAGCCAGGTCCAAGCCTACTAAGGCAACCCTCAACCCTGATAAACCCTCAAGAGCCCAGGGAAAGGTTGCAGGGAACATGGACTAAGAGGTGAGTTTGATTGATTAAAGGGGTAAAACCTGGGGCTAAAGGCCTAAGAAAATAAGGATGGGGCCGGGCGAGTGGCTCACACCTGTAATCCCAGCACTTTGGGAGGCCAAGGCGGGTGGATCACCTGAGGTCAGGAGTTTGAGACCAGCCCGGCCAACATGGTGAAACCCCATCTCTACTAAAAATACAAAAAATTAGCCGAGCATGGTGGTGTGCAGCTGTAATCCCAGTTTCTTGGGATGCTGAGGCAGAAGAATTGCTTGAACCCAGGAGATGGAGGTTGCAGTGAGCTGAGATCACGCCACTGCACTCCAGCTTGGGCAACAGAGTGAGACTGTCTCAAAAAAAAAAAAAAAAAAAAAGGAAAAAGAAAATAAGGATGGGATCTGAGTCCAATTCCGTGCTGAATAGTATCTTCAACAAGATGGTGCCAGGGAGAGGACCCAGAGAAATGAAGTAGGAATGCATGAGGGGCCTGAGGAAATGAATGTGTGGGGAGAACACTTTGTAAGTAACAAAGGCAATTCTCTTGAAAGCATCTCAGCTCTTAACTCCAGAGAGAACTTAATGGGACCACGTAGGCATCTAACAGTCCAACTACAATGACCCCAGTCAAGCTCCTTTCTAGTCTAGAATAGCACAGTACTAGAGACTAGGGGGGAAGCTGAGGCTGAGATGTGGGTGTTGGATGTGATACAAGTAATGGTTAAATTATCAACGTTGTGATAAATTCACCTTTTTGTAATACCATTATTCTCGCTTGCATTCCCCTGAATTTTTTTTTTTTTTTTTTAGACAGAGTCTCACTCTTTTGCCCAGGCTGGAGTGAAATCAAGACTGAAATCTGGAACCCTCTCCAGATGGGGTTTCACCATGTTGTCCAGGCTGGTCTCAAACTCCTGACCTCAGGTGATCCATCTGCCTCAGCCTCCCAAAGTGCTGGGATTACAGGCATGAGCCACTGTGCCCGGCCCCATGATTTTTTTTAAGTGGAAATGAAAAGGATCGAGTTACAAAACATCACAATTAATCCTCCCTGTTGGACTCAAGAACATTATACACAAATGAGTATCAAAGAGAGAGAATGCTGTTCTAGAAAGCCATTCCCCTTCTGCATCTGCTCTCCTTCCCTGACAGCTTTGGAGAAGACACAAGGCAAAGACAGAAACTAATACCTGTTGGCCCCTGCCATGCACGCTATACTATACTGAGTCTGGTCAGGCACAACGCTGAATTTTCTTCACCTCAAAACCCTGTAAACACCACCAATGGGGAAACTCAGAGGCTCAGGTACACAGAGGCATGGGTGGCAAAGCTAGATGTGCCTCATTCAAAAGTCCATGTTCTTTCTCTGTGTTTTCCTACTTATCTGAAGGCCCAGGAAAAAGCAACCAGAGAGAACTGTCTCTTTTTTTTTTTTTTTTGAGACAGAGTCTTGCTCTGTCGCCCAGACTGGAGTGCATTGGCGTGAACTCGGCTCACTGCAACCTCCGCCTGCCGGGTTCAAGCAATTCTCCTGTCTCAGCCTCCCAAGTAGCTGGGACTACAGGCATGTGCCACCATGCCTGGCTAATTTTTTGTATTTTTAGTAGAGACAGGGTTTCACCATGCTGGCCAGGCTGGTCTCGAACTCTTGACCCCGTGATCCACCCGTCTCAGCCTCCCAAAGTGCTAGGATTACAGGCGTGAGCCATCCATTGCGCCCAGCCAAAAAAAGTAATCTTAAGTGTTATGGACGTGGACAAGAATTATAGGAAAAGAAAGGAAAAACAGTCCAGTGAAATAAAATGATAAAAAGGAAAAAAAACAAAACCGTGTACAAGTACCCTCAGAAATTACTTTGGAATTAGGCCAAGCGCAGTGGCTCATGCCTGTAATCCCAGCACTTTGGGAGGCCGAGGCGGGAGGATCACCTGAGGTCAGGAGTTTGAGACCAGCCTGGCCAACATGGTGAAACCCCGTCTCTACCAAAAATACAAAAGTAGCCAGGCATGGTGGCGAGTGCCTGTAATCCCAGCTATTCAGGAGGCTAAGGCAAAATTGCTTGAATCTGGGAGGCGGAGGTTGCAGTGAGCAGAGATCGCGATATTGCACTATAGCCTGGGCCACAAGAGCGAAATTCCATCTCCAAAAAAAAGAAATTACTTTGGAATTAATGTAACAAAATATCATTTAATGCCTACCAAATAGGGAAAAATAAATAAAAATAATTTTTTAACCAAGGTAAACACAGGCTCAAGATATGCATATACACTATGGGCCGGGCGCGGTGGCTCACGCCTGTAATCCCAGCACTCTGGGAGGCTGAGGTGGGCGGATCACCTGAGGTCAGGAGTTCAAGACCAGCCTGGCCAACATGGTAAAACCCCATCTCTGCAAAAATACAAAAACTAGCCAGGTGTGGTGGCAGGCACCTGTAATCCCAGCTTCTTGGTAGGCTGAGACAGGAGAATCGCTTGAACCTGGGAGGCAGAACTTGCAGTGAGCCGAGATGATGCCATTGCACTCCAGCCTGGGTGACAGAGCAAGACTCCATCTCAAAAAACAAACAAAAAAAGAAGTATAATGTTAAGCACAAAAAGCAGGCAGGGGCTGGGTGCAATGGTTCACACCTGTAATCCCAGCACTCTGGAAGACCGAGACGGCAGATCACCTGAGGTCAGGAATTCGATACCAGTACGGCCAATGGTGAAACCCCATCTCTACTAAAAAATACAAAAATTAGCTGGTGTGGTGGCGCATAGTCCCAGCTACTCAAGAGGCAGGAGAATCACTTGAACCCAGGAGGCAGAGGTTGCAATGGGCCGAGATCATGCCACTGCACTCCAGCCTGGGCAACAGAATGAGACTCCGTCTCAAAAAAAAAAAAAAAAAAAGCAGGCCAGGCACGGTGGCTCATGCCTATAATGCCAACACCTTGGGAGGCCATGGTAGGAGGACTGCTTGAGCCTGAGGGTTCGAGACCAGTGTGGCATGCACCTGTGGTCCTAGCTATGTGGGAGGCTGAGGCAGGAGAATTGCTTGAGCCCAGGAGGTAAAGGCTGTGAGCCATGTTTATACCACTGCACTAGAGCCTGGGGGACAGAGTGAGACCCTGTCTCAAAAAAAAAAAAAAAAAAAGCAAATCACGGAGGGTATTTACATAGGGTACGGTACCATTTATTTAAAGTCTACACTTATGCAAAACTCTACATTATATTGCTTAAGGATAGATGCATGTGTAGTAAAACTATTAAAATATTTATTGGAATAATATATCCCATCTCCAAGATAGTGATTATTATTATTATTTTTTTTTAAATATGGAGTTTCGCTCTTGTTGCCCAGCTAGAGTGCAATGGTGCGATCTTGGCTCACTGCAACCTCCGCCTCCCGGGTTCAAGCGATTCTCCTGCCTCAGCCTCTGAGTAGCTGGGGATTGCAGGCGCCCACCACCACGCCCGGCTAATTTTTGTATTTTTTTTAGTAGAGATGGTGTTTCAGCATGTTGGGCAGGCTGACCTCGAACTGCCGACCTCAGGTGATCCACCTGCCTTAGCCTCCCAAAGTGTTGGGATTACAGGCATGAGCCACTGCACCTGGCCAATAGTGATTACTTCTATGAGGAGATAAATAGGTTTCTTTTGCAGGACTTGTCATAGCCTCTAATATGTTAATAAACCCTATGACTCTCCCAGAGACGTTTATCATATTCAATGTCCCTCACACTTACTTAGCTATGAACCCCTTTTCTTGTGCTTTACTAACGTTGCCTAGAACACTTTTGGAAATGATAGTGTAGAGAGAAAAAAAAAAAAAAAAAAAAATATATATATATATATATATATATATACACATATATATATAAACACACTCTCGGAAGCCCTAAAACTCACATCTTAAACACAATGATCTGCACTTGGTAATGTCAAACAGTTCTCTGTATCTTTGTTTCCCAATACACAAAATAAAGATAACACCAGCCTCTTTCCCCACTTCGAGAGTTCTTTTTCCAAATTTTCTTTCTCTCTTCCCCTCTTCCTCTCTTTTTCTTTAATCTTAAGCCAATTCAGGAGAACTTTAGGAAAAGGAAAGCTTGATAGTGTTAGAAAAGCTCTGCAGAAGGGGTATGTTTAGACTACCTTGTCCTCCGCTCACTCTCTCACTTGCCCTTTTTCTAATTATAGAACCTTACTTTTCAATCCTGAATTCAATACCTGCCCCTGCCCAGCCCCCGCAACCGCCACCTCTCCTTACCTATAGCTGAGGGGCAGTGTAGAACCTTGGTTCCTTCCCTGGGACAACCAGACAGTCTTCACACAATCAATTACCAATGGAGTCAACTGGACATTAGGCTCCTTGACAGCTGGACACAGGGTCTTTTGGATGAAGACCTGAGCATCCTCAAGCCAGGCTTGTTCCTGAGGAAAGTGAATTTAGTTAAAACATCTTGACTATCCGGCCCACCAAGGAAACTTGGGAAGAATAAAGGACTAGAAAAAAATATCCGGGCCGGGTGCGGTGGCTCACGCCTGTAATCCCAACACTTTGGGAGGCTGAGGCAGGCGGATCACTTGAGGTTGGGAGTTCGAGACCAGCCTGACCAACATGGTGAAACCCTGTCTCTACTAAAAACACAAAATTAGCTGGGGGTGGTGGTGCACACCTATAATTCCAGCTACTTGGGAGGCTGAGGCAGGAGAATTGCTTGAACCCAGGAGGCGGAGGTTGTGGTGAGCCAAGATCGAGCCATTGCACTCCAGCCTGGGCAACAAGAGGGAAACTCCGTCTCAAAAAAAAAAAAAAGAAAAGAATATCCAGAGGGCACATGAAATGAAGATCAAAAGTAAAGGAATTTAGAACTTGAAGAAACCTTAAAAGTCTTAGTCCAGCCATACCGTAGACAGCTGGCCATCCAGCTTTGGTCTTGCCCCTTTCTCTAACAAACTTGTACTCATGCCATCTTACATGGAATCTGGTTCTAAAGTCAGTACGTTGAAGACCAAGAATGGACAAAAACATTGTTGAACAATCCTTTAAACCGTTCATAAAGAACAGGACAGGCTGGGTGCAGTGGCTCACGCTTGTAATCCCAGCACTTTGGGAGGCCAAAGAGGGTGGATTGCTTGAGTCCAGGAGTTCAAGTACAGCCTGGACAACATGGCGAAATCATGTCTCTACAAAAATACAAAAAGCCAGGCGTGGTGGCACATGCCTGTGCTTCCAGCTACTCGGGAGGCTGAGATGGGAGGATCACCTGAGCCTGGGGCGGTTGAAACTTCAGTGAACCCAGATGGCGCCACTGCACTCTGGCCTGGGTGACAGAGTGAGACACTGTCTCAAAAAAACCAAAACCAAAAATGAGTAAGACATAGTGCCATACTATGTATAAGTGCCTAATAGTGGACAGTACATAAAAAGGACATAGGCAGAGTATAATTTTTAATCATCTCCTTTTTTTATTCAAAGGTATGCATTTCCCACAAACTAAATATATGCAAGATACAACCTCACTTGATTTGTTTCCTGTTGTCTTTTCAGCTAAGGTGTGGGCTTCCTGAGGAGGATATGGACTATCTTTGTATACCTGACACAGATTCTGGACACACACTTGCCATGATATGTAGATAACTTTAGGGAAAAGGACCAGTTTGGCCTACTCCCAGTGCTAGGCAGCTTTAACACACTTGGCAGTAGGCCCTTTATCCTTCTCCCTTAATGCTACTTCTAAGCCATTACAGCTCCTTCCCTGGTCCTCCAATGCTCATATATTAACATCCTGGTCAATCTTTCACATTCCTCTTTTTTTTTTTTTGGAGACGGAGTCTTGCTTTGTCGCCCAGGCTGGAGTGCAATGGCGCAATCTCGGCTCACCGCAACCTCCGCCTTCCGGGTTCAAGTGATTCTCCTGTCTCAGCCTCCCAAGTAGCTGGGATTACAGGCATCCACCACCACACCCAGCTAATTTTTTATATTTTTAGTAGAGACGAAGTTTCACCATGTTGGCCAAGCTAGTTTCGAACTCCTGAACTCAAGTGATCCGCCCGCCTCAGCCTCCCAAAGTGCCAGGATTACACACGTGAGCCACCACGCCTGGCCTTTCACATTCTTCTAATCTTAAGGAGCTCGAAAAGAGCTAGAAAAGCCAGTCTTCCATGGAATCAACCTAAATGCACATCAACAGTAGACTGGATAAAGAAAATGTGGTACATATACACCATGGAATACTACGCAGCCATAAAAAAGAATGAGATCATGTTCTCTGCTACAACATGGATGCAGTTGGAGACCATTATCCTTAGCAAACTAATCCAAGAACAGAAAACCAAATACTGCATGTTTGTTCCCACTTATAAGTGGGAGCTAAATAACGAGAACACGTGAACACAAAGAGGGAAATAACAGACACTGGGTCCTACTTGAGGGTGGGAAGAGAGAGATTGGAAAAAATACCCATCAAGTACTATGCTTAGTACAGGGGTGACGAAATAATCTCTATACCAAACCCCCATGACATGAGGTTACCTACATAATAAACCTGCGCACGTCCCCCTGAATCTAAAATAAAAGTTAAAAGGAAAAAAAAGTCTTCAAGTTCTAGATGTCTTCAGCATCCTTGTGGACAGCCCTACCACTGACTTTCAGCCCACTTCAGCCACACACTCATTCATGGTCAGAGTTGTGGAAGGCAGACCAAATCACCATTCAGAGTTGCCCCACCAGTATAAGCAAAGTTCCGACTCTCACGCTTTTTGTCTTCCTCTCCCAGTATTCTTTTGTAGTTCCTGTTTCTCGGATGGCCTATCCTTTGCTTGGTGCACTGAATACGACTGTCTCTCAAAGTGATCCCATGGCTTCAAGGTAAAATTACCTAAGTTTTGTTAAAAAGGCAAATTCGTGTTTTCATCTACTGAGTAAAAATGGAGCAGACTGGATGTGGTGGCTCTCGCCTGTAATCCCAGCACTCTGGGGGGCCAAGGTGGATCGCTCGAGCCCAGTAGTTCACTACTAGTCTGGGCAACAAGGCAAAGACCCGTCTCTACAAAAAAGAAAAATTAGCTGGGCATGGTGGCTCGTGCCTGTAGTCCCAGCTACTCGGGAGGCTGAGGTGGGAGGATCACCTGAGCCTGGGAAGGTTGAGACCCGCCTGGGCAACATGGTGAAACTCTAAAACAATTCAAAATTAGCTGGATTAGCCTGGCGTGGTAGCACATGCCAGTAGTCCCAGCTACTTGGGAGGCTGAGGTGGGAGGATCACCTTAGCCTGGGAAGGTTGAGACCCGCCTGGGCAACATGGTGAAACTCTAAAACAATTCAAAATTAGCTGGGTTAGCCTGGCGTGGTAGCACACGCCAGTAGTCCCAGCTACTTGGGAGGCTGAGGTGGGAGGATCGCTTGAGCCCAGGGAGGTTGAGGCTGCAGTGAGCCATGATGGTGCCACTGCACTCTAGCCTGGGTGACAGAGTAAGACCTTGTTTCAAAAAAAAAAAAAAAAAAAAAAAGGAGGGAGGAAGAGGAAGATCCAGATTAATACAGGCTGAAGTTTAAGAACACAATATGCTTTCCCACAATTATCTCAACCACTGCATGGGTTTAACAGCCATGGCCAGATGATGATTGTTCCTGTATGTCTACTTTAGCTGAGATCTCATTCCTGAGCTTTAGTCCTATCCATCTGCCAGACTCTCCATGGCCAATCCACAGGCAGCACACATGCCCAACACTGAACTTTCCACAAAACCCTGTCCTTTTCTAGAACTCTTCTAGTGTTATGTTCACTAACTTAGCAAATAGTACCCTTAACCAAACAGTTGTTCTATCCTGAAACCTAGATGTCCTCCTTAGCTCCTTCCTTTCCCTACATAGGTCCCAGTCCTGGCTGGGTGCAGTGGCTCACGCCTGTAATCCCAGCAGTTTCGGAGGCCAAGGCGGGCAGATCACGACGTCAGGAGATCGAGACCATCCTGGCTAACATGGTGAAACACCGTCTGTACTTAAAAAAAAGAAAAAAAATACAAAAATGAGCTGGGCATGGCGGCGCGTGCCTGTATGCCTGTAATTCCAGCTACTCGGGAGGCTGAGGCAGAAGAATCGCTTGAACCTGGGAGGCAGAGGTTGCAGTGAGCCGAGATCGCGTCACTGCACTCCAGCCTGGTGACAAAGCTAGACTCCGTCTCAAAACACACACACACACACACGCACACAAACCAATCCTTTAGATTGTATTTTCTTAACATCTTATTTATTTATTTATTTATTTATTTATTTATTTATTTATTTATTTGAGATGGAGTCTGGCTCTGTCGTCCAGGCTAGAGTGCAGTGGCGCGATCTCGGCTCACTGCAACCTCCACTTCCGTGGTTCCCTGCTCAGCTTCCTGAGCAGCTGGGATTACCGGCGTGTGCCACCACACCCAATTACCCTCATGTTAAAGTCGCTGCTTAGCAAGAGGTACAAAACTGTCAGCTCTGACCCCTCCACCACCACCCAACTGAACTTTTGAGTTTTTCAGACACCTGCTCTATCCTCCTGCCTTTGAATATGTGTTTGCTTCCGTCCTGAAACCCCTTCCGGCGCTTTTTTTTTTTTTTTTTTTTTTTTGACAGAGTCTCGCTCTGTTGCCCAGGCTGGAGTGCTGTGGCACAATCTCAGCTCACTGCAGCCTCCGTCTACCCGGTTCAAGCGATTCTCCTGCCTCAACCTTCTGAGTAGCTGGAATTACAGGTGCGCGCCACCACGCCCGGCTAATTTTTGTATTTTTAGTAGAGATGAGGTTTCACCATGTTGGTCAGGCTGGTCTCGAACTCCTGACCTCAAGTAATCCGCCCGCCTCCGCCTCCCACAGTGCTGGATTACAAGCGTGAGCCACCACACCCAGCCCCTTTCGGCGCTTTTTGCCTTCTACACGCACTTCGGGTCTCAGACGCTTTTACTTATTATGGTTGCCCTTTTCCCCTACAGCTCCGTCAAGGGTCTTCTCCAGGAACCCACAGCCCCATAGTTCCCCCATTAACCTGCTCCTGGTTTCCCACCAGGATTAAACCCTAGAGAGTGAACGGAGACCAGTTTAAGGCTCACAGCGGGCGCCGCGTGAATGAGGGAATAAACATTCGCAGAACCAGTAAGAGGTAGGAGCGGACCGACTCACAACCCCCTCACCCATGGGCCGGACGCGGCCAGCGAGCCCAGAGAGACAAGGCAGAGGAAATAGGAAGAGAAAGAGTATCTGTGACAAACAAGAAAAAAGGAACAAGAGACGTAATAGCAGCACTCACGGAGGAAGGGACCTGGGCCCGGCCAGCCGCCATGATGCGCCGGAGCTCCGCCCCCGGGAGGGGCAGGTGCTCGCTTGGGGGTGGGGATGGGGGTGGGGGGGCGCTCGGTGACGTCACCGGTGAGCGGGTTTCCTCGCCACCTCCAGCTCCTTCTCGCTGCTCACCCCCTCGCTTCCTAGAGACTCCGCGAGGCGCCTCGGTGCACCATCCCAACTCCCGACACCCCTGTCTCTTTTCTCTGATTTTTTTTTTTTTAAGACGAAGCCTGGTTCTGTCGCCCAGGCTGGAGTGCAGTGGCGCGATCTCGGCTCACTGCAACCCCCGCCTCCCAGGTTCAAGGGATTTTCCGGCCTCAGCCTCCTGAGTAGCTAGGATTACAGGCACCTGCCACCACCACGCCCGGCTAATTTTTTTTTTTTTTTTTTTTTTTGTATTTTTAGTAGAGACGGGGTTTCACCATGTGGCCAGGCTGGTCTCAAACTCCTGACCTCAGGTGATCCACCCGCCTCAGCCTCCCAAAGTGCTGGGATTACAGGCGTGAAACACAGCCCCTGGCCCTCTCTGATTTTTTTGAGACGAGGTCTCGCTCTATCGCCCAGGCTGGAGTGCAGCGGCGCCATCTCGGTTCACTGCAGCCTCGACCTCCCGGGCTCAAGCGATCCTCCCACCTCAGCCCACCAAGTAGCTGGGATCGCAGGCTTGCACCGCCACACCCGGCTAATTTTTGTATTTTTCTGTAGCGACATGGTTTCGCCATGTTGCCCAGACTGGTCTCGAACTCCTGGGCTCAAGCGATCTGCCCGCCTCGGGCTCCCAAAGTGCTCGGATTACAGGCGGGAGCCACCGCGCCCAGCCTCCGTCTCCCTCCTAAGTGACATCCTGTCCGGCATCCCGCAGGCCTTCAGATGGATGGGGTAGCAGAGCTCAGGAACTCAAACACAGCCCGCCTGGTGGATGACTTCTAAGCATCTTTCAGTCTCCCTGATCTTGCCAAGCAGAGAAGGGCTTCCTCGTAATGCCACCAAAGCACAACTTTCACATGCTTGCTTTATGGCCTTAACTAACTGATGTCATTACTTAACTGTCCCCGCGGGGACGGGGAACTGAATGTATTTTCACAAACGTCAGTTCAAGACAGATTTGTGGGAGAAACCACCTGGGGATAAACCTCTCCCCACCAAGAACCTAGAATTCGGCCGGGTGGCTGGGGAAAAGTGGGCGGGGCGTAGTCGCCCCGGCGCTGGCAGGTCCAGTCTCTGCCCGCGGCGCACGCGGATGACGTAACAAACGCGCGCGACGATTCGAGGTGCTCTGTGGCCGCGAGTGCATCTTCCACGTGAGTATAGTTACCGCGTGCGGACCTGGATCCTCCTCCAGGTGCAGCGTTTCGTCATCTAGCCCAAGCTTGGTCTGGCGGCTTCAGTATCCCCACCGGGCCGAGCTGTGTCTACTTGGTGCCCGCGTATTTGCTTTAGTGGAGGCGTCCATTCGTCCTATCTTGCGTGCGTTCCGCAGACCCCAGGCATGGCCGACCCCCATGTAAATTTAGCCCCATTGTCCCATTCATGGATTCAGCTAACAGAAAGACTGCCGGCCGCCTACTTTATATCAGGCACCATGCTGGTCATGGAATACAGCCCTCATGCACGCAAACCCTGTCTCTGAGCTCTTGAAGCTTATATTTTACTGGGAATGATAGACGGAAATCAAGTGGCTTAATAAACAAAATGCCTTCAGGAAGACTGTCCTGAAAGTTGGGGAGGGGCTGAAGAGTGGTGAGAATCAAGAGTTCATTAAGTCATTCCACAAGTTTTAGAATTTTTTTGCGTTTCAAGCCCTGGTATTGTTCTAAGCCTTGGTAATTCAATGGAAACGAAGCAGCAACATCCCATGCCCACGTAGAGATTTTTTTTCTAGTGGGGAATATAGAGCGAAAAATAAAAACATCCAATAGTGATAAGCGCTTTACAGGAAATTAAAATAGGGCCGGCCATCTGATAGTAACTACTTGAGTGGCTAGTGAAGCCTTTTCCACGAAGGCGAATCACCAGAAATCTAAATAACAAGAGCTAGCCATGCATATGTCAGGGTGAAAAAAATGCCTTCCAGGACTGAGCTTGGCAAGTTAGAGAAATAAAAAAGAAGCTAATGTGTGGTTGGTGCATTGTGGGTGAAAAAGAGAATGGTGTGAGATAGGGTTGGAAAGGTAGGCCAGAGAGTGGCCAGACTTGGTAAACCAGGATGCTGAGTTGGAATTTATACCATGTGTAATGGGAAGCCATAATCCACTTTATGCTGATGTGTGACAAATGAATTGTGGTTATGCAGTGGTCAGGAGGTTAATGCATTGGTCCAGGTGAGTGATGGTGGTGGCTTACTTGAACTAGAGTGAGGTAGTAGAGATGAAGAGATGAGAGATTTGAGACATGATTGGAAATAGATTTCCTGGTGGATTGGATTTAGAGAGTCTGAGGGAAAGAGAATTAAGGATGACTTCTGTGTTTTTGTCTTGAGCAACAAATTGGATGATGGTAGTGTTTACTGAGTGGCAAGACTAGGGGAACAGCAGAGTTTGGTGAGTAAAGCCAGGGTCCCGCTGAGAGGCAGTGGGACCAGAAATTGGATAGGTAGTTTGGGATAGATGGGGAGGGCCTTTGAATGTTAGGCTAAAAGTATTAACTGTAATAGTTCTGTTGCCTGATGCACACTGGAGGTCAATACACCAAGACACCAGGTTGCAGCAGAGAAAGAGGTTTAATCATAGGGCTGCTGAACAAGGAGACAGGAGGAAACCTCAAATCCATCTCCCAGAGTACTTTGGGGCTAGGGTTTTTAAAAAAGAGTTTGGAATAGGATTAGGATGAAGTGTGAAAATCATTGATTGAAGAGTGCAGGGTGAGGTCATGAAACAGGGAGATGAAGAAACTGATTCTCATGCTCACTTGGTTCCACTGTGGGAGTCTTTTTTTTTTTTTATTTTTTTTAATTTGAAAGATGAGGTCTGCCTGGCGCAGTCGCTCACGCCTATAATCCCAGCACTTTGGGAGGCTGAGGTGGGTGGATCACGAGTTCAAGAGATTGAGACCATCCTGGCGAACATGGTGAAACCCCATCTCTACTAAAAATACAAAAATTAGCTGGTCATGGTGGTGTGCACCTGTAGTCTCAGCTACTCGGGAGACCGAGGCAGGAGAATCGCGTGAACCCGCAAGGCAGAGGTTGCAGTGAGCCGAGATCGTGCCACTGTACTCCAGCCTGGCAACAGAGTGAGACCCCATCTCAAAAAAAGAAAAAGAAAGACGGGGTCTTGCTCTGTCACCCAGGCTGGAGTGCAGTGGCACAATCGTAGCTCACTGCAGCCTCAAACTCATGGGCTCAAGCGATCCTCTTACCTCAGCCTCTTGAGTAGCTGGGACCACAGGTACATGCCACCATGCCCCACTAATTTTTAATTTTTTTTTTTATAAAGACAGGGTCTTACCATGTTGCCCAGGGCTGGTCTCAAACTCCTGGGCTCAAGCAGTCCACTGCTTTGGCCTCCCAAAGTGCTGGGATTACAGGCATTGGGATTATAGGCGTGAGCCACTGCTCCTGGCTTCTGTGGGAGTCTTTGAGCTGGTGGAGTCAGCTGTTCTGCTGGAATTCAGGATCTGCTTAAGCAATTCTTTTTTTTTTTTTTTTTTTTTGAGTCAGAGTCTTACTCTGTCACCCAGGCTGGAGTGCAATGGCTCAATCTTGGCTCACTGCAACCTCTGCTTCCCAGGTTCCAGTGATTCTCCTGCCTCAGCCTCCCGAGTAGCTGGGACTACAGGTGCTTGCCACCACGCCCGGCTAATTTTTTGTATTTTTAATAGAGACAGGGTTTCACCACGTTGGCCAGGTTGGTCTTGAACTCCTGACCTCAAGTGATCTGCCCCTCTTGGCCTCCTAAAGTGCTAGGATTACAGATGTGAGCCACCATGCCCAGCCCTGCTTAAGCAATTCTTTTTTTTTGTTTTAATAATTTATGGGTCGGAATGGTGGCGCACGCCTGTAATCCCAACGCTTTGGGAGTCCGAGGCGGGCAGATCACTTGAGGTCAGGAGTTGGAGACCAGCCTGGCGAACATAGGGAAACCCCGTCTCTACTAATAATACAAAAATTAGCTGGGCGTGGTGGCGCATGCCTGTAATCTCAGCTACTTGGGAGGCTGAGGCAGGAGAATTGCTTGAACCCAGGTGGCAGAAGTTGCAGAGAGCCCAGATTGTGCCACTGCACTCCAGCCTGGGTGACAGAGTGAATCCATCTCAAAAAAAAAGAAAAAGAAAATAAATAAATAAATAAATAATTTATGACATGATATCATCAAGCAATAAATTCTTAAACAAAAGCTTTGTGATCAGAGATCCTTTTTTGTTTGTTTGTTTTTGTTTGTTTTGAGACAGAGTTTCACTCTTGTTGCCCAGGCTGGAGTGCAATGGCTCGATCTCAGCTCACTGCAACTTCCGCCTCCCGGGTTCGAGTGATTCTCCTGCCTCAGCCTCTCAATTAGCTGTGATTACAGGCACGCATCACCACGCCCGGCTAATTTTGTATTTTTTTTAGTAGAGATGAGGTTTCACCATGTTGGTCAGGCTGGTCTGGAACTCCTGATCTCAAGTTCTCACTGTGTTGCCCAGGCTGGAGTGCAGCGGCTTGATCACTGCTCACTGCAGCCTCCGCCTCCCCAGGCTCAAGTGATCTTCCCACCTCAGCCTCCCTAGTTGCTGGGACTACAGGCACATGCCAGCACACCCAGCAAATTTTTGTATCTTTTTTGAGAGAGATGGGGTTTTTGCCATGTTGCCCAGGTTGGTCTCGAACGCCTGTGCTCAATCCTCCCACCTCAGCCTCCAAAGGGCTAAGATTACAGGTGTTAGCCACTATGCCCCGCCCAATCTGGCCTCTTCTTATAAGGGCAGATTATAAGAGGTTTGGTGAGATTAGTAGCTCATTCTTGAGAGTTCCACTTTCATGACCTAATTACGTCCCAGAGGCCCCACCTCCAAATACCATAACATTGAGGATTAGGGTTTCAATATATGAATTGGGAGGGGGAGATACACAAACATTCAATCCATGGCTGATACCATTTCTCTCAGGAAATTTTTCCTGACACCTGAAGTGCAGGATTGGTGTCCACAGTCCCCTGACCTTCACCACACGGGACTGGAAATGTCTGGGTACTTGGCCTTTCTCCCCCAATAAAATATAAACCCTGTGAGAGCAGACAGAGTTTCTGTCTTGATTCACAGCGGTGTTTCTAAGACCTTGACTGGGGCCCAGCAAAGTGCATGTACTCCAGGAACACGTGTCAGGTGTGTGCCTGTACACCTCCCTACCACATTAATAAAGACCACATTTTGCAAGATTCCTTAAAATCTCCAAGGTTACATTTTTCAGGTTACCTTGTTTCTCTAAATGTCCATATTACTTTCCCCTACCCTATCCATAACGCCGCAATTTTCCTTGAAATCTGAAATCAGTTCAACAGATAGGCCATAGTTAATGTTATTTTTATTTTATTTATTTATTGAGACGGAGTTTTGCTCTTGTTGCCCAGGCTGGAGTGCAATGGCGCGATCTCGGCTCACTGCAACCTCTGCCTCCCGGGTTCAAGCAGTTCTCCTGCCTCAGCCTCCCTAGTAACTGTGATTACAGGCGCCCGCCACCACACCCAGCTAATTTTATATTTTTAGTAGAGACAGGGTTTCACTATGTTGGCCGGGCTGATCTCCAACTCCTGACCTCAGGCAATCCACCTGCCTCAGTCTCCCAAAGTGCTGGGGTTACAGATGTGAGCCACCACGCCCGGCTTAGTTAATGTTATTTTTTAGGAACCTAATTCATCTCTCCAGCAAAGGACACATCTCTCCAGCAAAGGACACCTCTCTCCAGCAAAGGACACCTGCAGAGATGTCCCCAGTCCTTCACTTCTATGTTCGTCCCTCTGGCCATGAGGGGGCAGCCCCTGGACACACTCGGAGGAAACTGCAAGGGAAACTGCCAGAGCTGCAGGGCGTCGAGACTGAACTGTGCTACAACGTGAACTGGACAGGTTGGGCCCAGGTATTAGATTCTTGGGGGACATGCCTCGGTGCTGGGGGCAGTGTCTCAAGGTGTCCTTGCCCTGTCTCCCTGCAGCTGAGGCCCTCCCCAGTGCTGAGGAGACAAAGAAGCTGATGTGGCTGTTTGGTTGCCCCTTACTGCTGGATGATGTTGCTCGGGAGTCCTGGCTCCTTCCTGGCTCCAATGACCTGCTGCTGGAGGTCGGGCCCAGGTAAGTATCTCATCCTGCCCACCCCTTTCTTCTGCTTTCCTTTGCTTCCTCTTGTGATCCTTGGGAGATTTGCTTTTCCTTTGCTCTTTGCTACTTCCTGCCTAGGAAACCACACATGTGCTTTCCCCATTTGGGTAGATCCCTCCAAAGACCTAGCCTGCTCCAAAACATGTTCTCAAAGCAAAATAAATTAGATTCCAAGTTAAAATCAAACAGTTTTGGCCAGGCGCGGTGGCTCACGCCTGTAATCCCAGCACTTTGGGAGGCCGAGGTGGGGCAGATCACGAGATCAGGAGATTGAGACCATCCTGGCTAACACGGTGAAGCCTCGTCTCTACTAAAAATACAAAAAATTAGCCGGGTGTGGTGGCGGGCGCCTGTAGTCCCAGCTACTAGGCAGGCTGAGGCAGGAGAATGGTGTGAACCCGGGAGGCAGAGGTTGCAGTGAACCGAGATCACGCCACTGCACTCTAGCCTGGGCAACAGAGCAAGACTCTGCCTCACAGAAAGAAAAAAAAATCAAATAGTTTTGATGCTAGAGGACAGTTTTGGTTTGGTTTGAGTGTACTTTAAAAGCAGGTTTCTTGTTGCCCAGCCTGAGGCTGAAAGCCAATGGTGAGGGGATAGCGGTGGGAGGTTGTCCAGACAGCAGTAGGCAGGATCCACCCTCCCAGCTGAGGCCTGCCGGGGGTTCTCCAGTCCTAACCATCAGGCCCATTGTTCAGGCTGAACTTCTCCACCCCAACATCCACCAACATCGTGTCAGTGTGCCGCGCCACTGGGCTGGGGCCTGTGGATCGTGTGGAGACCACCCGGCGCTACCGGCTCTCGGTGAGGTGATGGGGAATCAGGAGGAGGAGATGAGCCAGAGATACAAGATTAGATCCTAAGCTCTAGAGAGAAGCAGGGACAGGTGCTCCTGGCTTTAGGCCTGCTCTGTATGGTCGTACAAGTTGTTCACTGCCTGAAAGTACCTGGTTGAGGGGTAAATGGGGCAGAAATCCAGCCTATGCTTCCTTTAATTTGTGCATCCTGGCATGGATTCATACCTGGAAAGGGCGTCTTTTTGTAATCTGAGAAAAAGTGCCATATGGTGTGGCAGTGGGCTAGCCTTGCATGACTAAGAGGGTAGGAAGGTGGACCATTTCTCTCCATTCTTAAACTCTTCACCCCTTGCCCTCTGTGTGTCTGCACCCCTAGTTTGCCCACCCCCCGTCAGCTGAGGTGGAAGCCATTGCTCTGGCTACCCTGCACGACCGGATGACAGAGCAGCACTTCCCCCATCCCATCCAGAGTTTCTCCCCTGAGAGCATGCCGGAACCCCTCAATGGCCCTATCAATATACTGGGTGAGGGCCGGCTTGCGCTGGAGAAGGCCAACCAGGAGCTTGGTGAGTAGCTGGGGAGGGAGATGTAGGGTCCAGGATAGGCCAGTAGGGGTGCTGAGATCTGGAATGTGGCTGCCTGAGTTCCATAGTCACCTCTTCCTGGATTTGTCTCCTAGGTCTGGCTTTAGACTCTTGGGACCTAGACTTCTACACCAAGCGCTTCCAGGAGCTACAGCGGAACCCGAGCACTGTGGAGGCCTTTGACTTGGCGCAGTCCAATAGGTGAGGAGAAATGGGGTTGTTCCCATACCTGAGCCCATGGGTGTTGGGAGAGACCACAGGGGCTCACCTTCATGTTCCTCCCTTGGCTTAGGGGCCTCCCTGAGTCTCTGAGGGCCTGGGCTCCCGTCATCCATCAAGGAGTCTACATTCAAATCTTGGTTTTATCTTCACTTTGGCTCTGGATAGTCCAAAATGACAGAATACTTGAAGATTATGACTTTTTGGAATATATTTTGATCTGTCATCTAAGTATGAATTTGGCTGTAACTCTGCTGTTAAATGCTGGTGAGAAGACATGGCATTAAGAAATGACCCCGTTTCCACCTGCCTTCCCCTCCCTGCATCGCCCCCTGCAGCGAGCACAGCCGACACTGGTTCTTCAAGGGCCAGCTCCACGTGGATGGGCAGAAGCTGGTGCACTCACTGTTTGAGTCCATCATGAGCACCCAGGAATCCTCGAACCCCAACAACGTCCTCAAATTCTGTGATAACAGCAGGTGCTGTGCCCTAGACTGGGTTGGCGTCAGGACCCGGGGAGGGGAGGCCCCAGGCCCTGGTTGGGTTAGTGTAGGTCCCAGAAAGGAAGCAAGGTCCATGACGGGTATGTCCACAGTGCAATCCAGGGAAAGGAAGTCCGATTCCTACGGCCTGAGGACCCCACACGGCCAAGCCGCTTCCAGCAACAGCAAGGGCTGAGACATGTTGTCTTCACAGCAGAGACTCACAACTTTCCCACAGGTGAGCTGGGTTCCCTGGAGAAATAGGTGAGATCACAGAATAGGGTAGGGCAAAGGTCCCAGGCCCCTGGAGTGGGCCTGGGGAAAATAATCAGGGAAATTGGTTGTCCTTATTTTCAGTGGGGGTGGTCAGAGATGGGGGTTTGTCTCTGAGGCACCCAGACCTCTCCCCACTCTCTCTTTGCAGGAGTATGCCCCTTTAGTGGTGCAACCACTGGCACAGGGGGCCGGATTCGAGATGTCCAGTGCACAGGCCGCGGGGCCCACGTGGTGGCTGGCACTGCCGGCTATTGCTTTGGAAATCTGCATATTCCAGGTTCCATCTCCTTCCTCTCTATCCACCTTCCCTTCCAGATTCCTTGTCCTGGCAGGCAGCAAACTTCTATCTGTTAGGTCCATAGGGTTATCCTGTGTGCCTTTTCTCAGGAGGAAGGGCTCTAGGATAGCTGGCCTTTCACTAACTATGGTCATAAGTGTAGACCTGGGGAGATGAGGTGGCCAGACTGCTTTTGCAGGTCTACGATTTTCTTTAAAAACTAGCCTTCATTCAGCCAGAAAGCATGATATTGGGTTGGTCTTATGATCAGTACCTGCCCCTCAAATCTGGTTTCTTAGCCTGAGAAACTTGGCTGGGCGTGGTGGCTCACGCCTGTAATCCCAGCACTTTGGGAGGCTGAGGTGGGCGGATCACAAGGTCAGGAGATCAAAACCATCCTGGCTAACACGGTGAAACCCCGTCTCTACTAAAAATACAAAAAATTAGCTGGGCGTGGTGGCGGGCGCCTATAGTCCCAGCTACTCAGGAGGCTGAGGCGAGAGAATGGCGTGAACCCGGGAGGCGGAGCTTTCAGTGAGCCAAGATCACGCCACTGCACGCTAGCCTGGGTGATAGAGCGAGACTCCATCTCAAAAAAAAAAACAGAAAGCCTGTGTAACTCTGATTGCGAGATTCAGAGGGAAGGCTGGTGTGGGTGGTGGAAAGAAGACCAGTGCCTCACTGCAGGCTCTAGGGCTTCCTAAAGCAGGACTTCCTGAAGTGGAACATTGCAACCATGCAGGTGGTCCTTGGTGGCCTTGACTCTTCCTGAAGGATGCAGGCTGCTCCGGCCTGTCTTCACAGTTCATTCAGTTCATCCAGTTCTCTCTCCTTCCCTCCCAGGTTACAATCTGCCCTGGGAGGATCCAAGCTTCCAGTATCCTGGGAATTTTGCCCGGCCCCTGGAGGTTGCCATTGAAGCCAGTAATGGAGCTTCTGACTATGGCAACAAGTTTGGGGAACCAGTGCTGGCTGGTGAGGCTGGGGTGTGGAGGGATGACAAACACCCAGAGGGGCTTGTGGGTGGGGTGTGCGACCCAGGGGCTGTGCTATTGGGCGAGCACTGGGGGAACTGAGTGACAGGTCCCTCTGATGTTCACACTCCAGGCTTCGCCCGCTCCTTGGGCCTCCAGCTCCCAGACGGCCAGCGGCGTGAGTGGATCAAGCCCATCATGTTTAGTGGGGGCATTGGGTCCATGGAAGCTGACCACATAAGCAAGGAGGCCCCAGAGCCAGGTAAGAGCCTGCCACCTTTCTCTGGATCCAGCCAGCTTTCTCCCCAGCACAGGATGGCTACAGGGAGGGAACTTAGGGAACACTTCAGTGGTTAGTTTTTAATATGTTGGCTTATCTTATGTGTCACATAATGATGGACAACTCATTCTGAGAAATGTGGCTATTAGGTAATTTCATTATTGTGCCCACTTCATAGACTGTACATACACAAACCTAGATGGCATAGCCTGCTACACGATCCACACAGCCTCTTACTGGCAATATTATCCAGGAATTTTGTACACTTGGGAGCCATGATGAACAAAACAGCATGAGAATAAAATAAGCACAAGAGAAAATAATGCAATCAAGACGTGGTGGGCCAGGCAGGGTGGCTCGCACCTGTAATCTCAGCACTTTGGGAGACTGAGACAGGTGGATCACCTGAGATCAGGAGTTCAAGACCAGCCTGACCAACATGCTGAAACCCTGTTGCTACTAAAAACACAAAAATTAGCCAGGCATCTGCCGGGCATGGTGGCTCATGCCTGTAATCCCAACACTTTGGGAGGCTGAGGTGGGCAGATCACGAGGTCAGGAGATCGAGACCATCCTGGCTAACACGGTGAAACCCCGTCTCTACTAAAAAAATAAAAAAATTAGCCAGGTGTGGTGGCGGGCACCTGTAGTCCCAGCTACTCGGAGGCTGAGGCAGGAGAATGACGTGAACCCAGGAGGTGGAGCTTGCAGTGAGCTGAGATCCCACCACTGCACTCCAGCCTGGGCGACAGATGGAGACTCCATCTCAAAAAAAAAAAAAAAAAAATTACCCAGGCGTCATGGTGCATGCCTATAGTCCCAGCCTCCTGAGGCACAAGAACCACTTGAAGCTGGGAGGTGGAGGTTGCAGTGAGTGGAGATCGCACCACTGCGATCGCACCACTGTCAAAAAAAAAAAAAAAGACGTGGTAAATATGAGATAATATGAAGCTACTGTCAATGTAACATGGCATACCGTTTTTAGGTAAACTTTTTTTTCTCTTTTTTGTTAATTATTATTATTTTTAATCTGCATTTTCTTTCTCAAGTCAGATTTTTTTTCTCTTTTTAGAGACAGGGTGTTACTTTGTCACCCAGGCTGAAGAACAGTGGTTCTGTCCTAGCTCACTGTGGCCTTGAGCTCCTGGGCTCAAGCAGTTCTCCTGCTTCAGCCTTCCAAAGCACTGGGATTACAGGTGTGAGCCATGGTGCCCAGCCAGAATAAACTTGCTTTATATAAGTAGAATGAGTACATTCTAAAATAACAGTAAAAAGTATAGTTGGTTGGGCACAGTGGCTCACGCCTGTAATCCCAGCACTTTGGGAGGCCAAGGCAGGGGGATTACTTGAGGCCAGGAGTTTGAGACCAGTCTGGGGAATACAGTCAGACCCCTGTCTCTAAAAAAATTAAGAAATAAAACTTAGCTGGATATGGTGGTGTACACCTGTAGTCCCAGCTACCCAGGAGGCTTAGGTGGGAAGATCGCTTGAGCCAAGGAGCTCAAGGCTGTAGTGAGCTATGATCATACCACTGCACTCCAGCATGAGTGACAGAGTGAAACCCTGTCTCCAAAAAAGAATAAAAATAAAAAATAAATGTAGGCTGAGTGTGGTGGCTCACGCCTGTAATCCCAGCACTTTGGGAGGCCATGGTGGGCAGATCACCTGAGGTCAGGAGTTCAAGACCAGCCTGGCCAACATGGTGAAACCCCCTCTCTGCCAAAAATTCAAATATTAGCTGGGTGTGGTGGCGCGCACCTATAATCCCAGCTACTCGGGAGGCTGAGGCAGGAGAATCACTTGAACCTGGGAGGTGGAGGTTGCAGTGAGCCAAGTTTACGCCACTGCACTCCAGTCTGGACGTAAGAGTGAGACTCTGTCTCAAAAAAAAAAAAATTTTTTTTTAAGTGTGGTAAATACATAAACCAGTAATAGTCATTTATTGTCATTATGAAGTATTATGTAGTATACATACAATAATGGTTTGCAGTATACTTTTGTGTGACTGGCAGTATAGTAGGTTTATTTACAATAGCATCACCCACCAGCGTGCCACGATGCCACTAGGCAATAGGAATTTTTCAGCACAATTATAATCTTAAGGGATCACTGTTGTATATGTGGTCTGTTGTTAAGCAAAATGTCATTAGTCAGCCCATGACCAAAATGGAATCATACAATATGCGGCCTTTTGTGTCTGCCTTCTTTCACTTAGCTTAATGTTTTCAGGGGTTATCCGTTGCATCAGTACTTTATTTCTTTTTATGGCTGAATAATATCCCATTATGTAGCTATGTCGCATTTTGTTTACCCATTCCTTAGTTGGTGGACATTGGGGTTGTTTCAGCTTTTTAGCTATTATGCATAATGCTGCTATGAACATTTATGTACAAGTTTTTTTGTTTTGTTTTGGTTTGGTTTTTTTGAGACGGAGTCTCGCTCTGTCGCCCAAGCTGGAGCGTAATGGCGCTTTCTCGGCTCACTGCAAGCCCCGCCTCCCGGGTTCACGCCACTCTCCTGCCTCAGCCTCCCGAGTAGCTGGGACCACAGGTGCCCACCACCACGCCCGGCTAATTTTATGTGTTTTTAGCAGAGACGGGGTTTTGCCGTGTTAGCCAGGGTGGTCTCTATCTCCCGATCTCGTGATCCGCCTGCCTCAGCCTCCCAAAGTGCTGGGATTACAGGCGTGAGCCACCGCGCCCGGCCTATGTACAAGTTTTTGTATGAACATATGTTATAATTTCTCCCAGGTATATAACTAGGGGTGGAATTGCTGGGTCATGTGGTAACTATGTTCAGCTTTTCAAAAAATTGCCAAACTGTTTTCCAAAGCAGCTGTACCATTTTACATTCTCTCTGGCAGTGTGTGAGGGTTCCAGTTTCTCCACATGCTTGACAACACTTGTTAATATCTGTCCTTTTGATTGTAAGGCATAATAGTGGGTATGAAGCAGTATTTCATTGTGGATTTGGTTTGTTTTTCTCTAATGACTAATGATGTTGAGCGTGTTTTCTTTCTTTCTTTTTTTTTTTTGTAGAGACAGAGTCTTGCTCTGTTACTCAGGCTGGAGTGCAATGGCGCAATCTCAGCTCACTGCAACCTCCGCCTCCCGGGTTCAAGCAATTCCCCTGCCTCAGCCTCCCAAATAGCTGGGATTACAGGCACGTGCCACCACACCTAGCTAATTTCTTTTGTATTTTAGTAGAGATGGGGTTTCACCGTGTTGCCCAGGCTGGTCTCAAACTCCTGAGCTCAGGTAATCCACCCGCCTCAGCCTCCCAAAGTGCTAGGATTACAGGCGTGAGCCACCGCACCTGGCCGAGCATGTTTTCGTATGCTAGTTAGCTATGCGTATATCTTCCTTAGAGAAACATCTATTCAGATCCTTTCCTATTTCTTTTTTCTTTTTTGAGATGGGATCTCACTCTGTCACCCAGGCTGGAGTGCAGTGGTGCGATCTCAGCTCACTGCAACCTCCATCTTCCGGGCTCAGGCAATCCTCCCACCTTAGCCTCCTGAGTAGCTGAGACTACAAGCTCCGGCCACCATGCCTGGCTAATTTTTGCATTTTTTGTAAAGATTGGATTTCACTGTGTTAGCCAGGCTGGTCTCGAATTCCTGAGCTCAAGCGATCCGCCCGCCTCAGTCTCCCAAAGTGCTGGGAGTATGGGTGAGTTCTCCCACAGTTTCTACCCTGGAGCCCCCAGGCTTCAGGACCCTTCCGCATCCAGAGGTTGCAGTGAGCCGAGATTGCATCACTGCACTCCAGCCTGGGCAACCGAGCAAGACCCCATCTCAAAAAAAAAAAAAGTTTTTAGTGTATAAGCCTTACTTCTATTGTTAAATTTATTCCTAATTATTTTTATTCTTTTTGATGCTACTGTAAATAGACATAGATATTTTTGCCTTTTTCATTTTTCGCTTAGCAGTATATCTTGGAAATAATTTCATATTGATGAAATCATATTACTTCATTACATTCCTATATTCTCTTTTTTTGGTGGCTTAGTCTTTCATTGTATAGACTTACCATAGTTTACTTAATGAGGTCTCTGTTGTCAGCCTTTAGGTTATTTCATGTACTTGCTAATACAAACGTTACTGTGGTGTTTAATCTTGTAAGTAGGTGATTTTATACCTGTGCAAATAAATCAGCGGGATGACTTCCTCAAAGTGTATTTACCCAATCAGAGACTGTGTGCATTTGTCATTTTGGTTGTTATTGCCAAATCGTCCTCCGTAGTTGATATCAGTTTACTCTCCTATCAACCCAGTCAAGTGGTAAGGCTTCTGGGCTAGGCAGGGTGGCTCACGACTGTAATCCCAACACTTTGGGAGGCCGAGGTGGGCGGATCACCTGAGGTCAGGAGTTTGAGACCAGCCTGGCCAAGATGGTGAAACCCTGTCTCTACTGAAAAAATACAAAAATTAGCCGGGCACGATAGCAGGCGCCTGTAGTCCCAGCTACTCAGGAGGCTGAGGCAGGAATATCGCTTGAACCCAGGAGACGGAGGTTGCAGTGAGCTGAGATCACACCACTGTACTTCAGCCTGGACAACAGAGCGAGACTCCATCTCAAAAAAAAAAAAGCTGGTCAGGCTTCTCCCTAACATCAGCTTCCTCTGTGTTCACGCTGCCTTGCTTTCGAGGCCTCTTCTCGTGGCTTCCCCAGTGTTCTGATTCTGCCTTCCCTTCTTACAGGCATGGAAGTTGTAAAGGTTGGAGGTCCCGTCTACAGGATTGGAGTTGGAGGTGGAGCTGCTTCATCTGTGCAGGTGAGTGGGAATTGCTAAAGGTGCAGAATCCTTGATATAACCGGGCCCCAGGCATAGGGGAGCGTATAGGAGCTTCCAGTCTCGCTGAGCTGAGCTATGCCATATATGCCCCCAGGTGCAGGGAGATAACACCAGTGACCTGGACTTTGGGGCTGTGCAGCGAGGAGACCCGGAGATGGAACAGAAGATGAACCGTGTGATCAGGGCTTGTGTGGAGGCCCCCAAGGGAAACCCCATCTGCAGCCTTCATGATCAGGGCGCTGGTGGCAATGGTGAGGAAAGGAGTTGGAACAAGAGACTGGGCCTGCCTGGTATCCTGCCAGGTTTCGTTTAGGGAGAGGTATCAGGAATCTCCAACCAACCACCCAGCTCTGGGTCCCATTCTCCATGCTCTGTACATTCTAGACAGGTTCAGGGTTGGAAGGGTGGAAGCCTGCTGCCGTGGGATGATTGGTGGTAAGGGTGCGGCAGCAGTTGACACAGGAACACACCAAATTACAGGCCCCTTTGGAGGCCAGGGACTGCCCTTTGTTGCCTGACCACCACTAGGTCACTGCTTCTCCTTGCAACCCTCTCACCAGGCAATGTCCTAAAAGAGCTGAGTGACCCAGCTGGAGCCATCATTTACACCAGCCGCTTCCAGGTGGGTCTCGTCCCCTGAAGTGTGACATTTTCCCACCCCTGCCAGCCCCAGCCCGCTTCCACCCATCTCTCTTGCAACAACATGAGACGTGGGAGTGCCCACTGGCCCTTCTCTTTCCTCCCCGCCGTGGCTGTGCAGCTTGGGGACCCAACCCTGAATGCCCTGGAAATCTGGGGGGCTGAGTACCAGGAATCAAATGCTCTTCTGCTGAGGTCCCCCAACCGGGACTTCCTGACTCATGTCAGTGCCCGTGAACGTTGCCCGGCTTGCTTCGTGGGCACCATCACTGGAGACCGGAGAGTGAGTTGGCCCAGGGAGTTGGGAGCAAACACTGGGGCAGACATGAGCCACCTGGGTATGGGCTAGAGGGAGAGCTGTCAAGGGAGAGAGACGAGAGGAAGATGGGAGGTAGTGGCAAACAAGCTGTGGGGAATGTTGGATCCAAGGAGGGGCAGGGACTCAATATGGAAACCAAACAAGGAGTGGAAAGCACATTTGTGCCCTGATTTCTAGGAACATTCCTTGCTGGTGTTCATAGTCTCATCCCCTCTGGGTGGGGTCCCTGTGGTCTATAGATAGTGCTGGTGGACGATCGGGAGTGTCCTGTCAGAAGAAATGGCCAGGGGGATGCCCCCCCGACACCCCTGCCAACCCCTGTGGACCTGGAGCTCGAATGGGTGCTGGGCAAGATGCCTCGGAAGGTATGTGGGGTTGAGGGGATGGGTTTTTCCTGTGGTCCTCTCCACACCACCCTTTACCCTACGTGCACTTTGTCGCCTGTGTGCCCAGCCCGCCCCAGGTGTTCACACTGCCTGTCGCTGTCTGTGTTGCAGGAGTTCTTCCTGCAGAGGAAGCCCCCCATGCTGCAGCCTCTGGCCTTGCCCCCAGGGCTGAGCGTGCACCAGGCTCTGGAGAGGGTTCTGAGGCTGCCCGCCGTGGCCAGCAAGCGCTACCTCACCAATAAGGTCCTCCCTGCACCCTTCCTCTGCCCCCTGCCTCCTTCCTCCGCTCAGCCTCTTCTGCCCTCCCACCCTTAGAAAGTGCTGTGGGGGTTTTTGCCTGGCCCTGCAGGAAGCAGCAGGGGCAGGGCAGCCACCCTGATGGCCTGGTCTCCCTGCTACCCACCTTCTAAGTAGAGCTGTTGTCTGCATTGGGGGAAAGACAGGCCTCCCACTGCCCTGAGTGCCTTGGGGGCATGTGCGGGAGCTCAGGCTGTCCCTGTCCCTTGCTCTCTTGCTAACCCCACCTGGTTCCACAGGTGGACCGCTCTGTGGGAGGCCTGGTGGCCCAGCAGCAGTGCGTGGGGCCCCTGCAAACTCCTCTGGCAGATGTAGCGGTTGTGGCACTGAGCCATGAGGAGCTCATAGGGGCTGCCACAGCCTTGGGAGAACAGCCAGTCAAGAGCCTGCTGGACCCAAAAGTCGCCGCCCGGCTGGCCGTGGCCGAAGCCCTCACCAACCTGGTGTTTGCTCTGGTCACTGACCTCCGGGTGAGTTCTCCCACAGCTTCTATCCTGGAGCCCCCGGGCTTCAGGACCCTTCCACATCCATCTGTAGCCCTTCATTTCATGTTGCAACCTCCCAGTCCGCCTGCACCCCTGGCCTCTCCACATTTCTCTTCCCCTCTAATGCTGTGCCTCTGCCACCCCCAGGATGTGAAGTGTAGCGGGAACTGGATGTGGGCAGCCAAGCTCCCAGGGGAGGGCGCAGCTTTGGCGGATGCCTGTGAGGCTATGGTGGCAGTGATGGCAGCCCTGGGTGTGGCAGTGGATGGTGGCAAGGACTCCCTCAGCATGGCTGCTCGGGTTGGCACTGAGACCGTGCGGGCTCCTGGTGAGGTGTGGGAGCCCCAGGGAGGGGAGGAGGAACTATGGAGCTGGGTTGGCAACTCATTCCTTTGGACTCCTCCTTGCTCTACAGGGTCACTGGTCATCTCAGCCTATGCCGTCTGCCCAGACATCACAGCCACTGTGACCCCAGACCTCAAGCATCCTGAAGGGAGAGGTATGGACATGGCCCCATCCTTTGTGATCTTTGCTTGTGTGATCTTTGTTTGGCTCCTGCTTTGTGAGTGCTGGGCCCCCATCTCAACACTGGGCTGTGGTGTTTTCTGGGACTGATTGTCTAGGTGTCTCACCACATGCTGGGAATAGCAGTGCTGTGAGCCCCTCAGGGATGGGTCCTCCTGAGCTGTTCCCCTCCCCTCACCCCTCCCCGTCTCCCCAGGCCATCTGCTCTATGTGGCTCTGAGCCCTGGGCAGCACCGGCTCGGGGGCACAGCTCTGGCCCAGTGCTTCTCCCAGCTTGGGGAACACCCTCCAGACCTGGACCTTCCTGAGAACTTGGTGCGGGCCTTCAGCATCACTCAGGGGCTGCTGAAAGGTGAGTGAAGACCCCTGGGGAGATAGCGCACAGGGTGCCAGGCGTGCAGCAGGCGTTCACCATCTGAGCAGTGGGGCAAAAGGGACTCCAATGGACGATGTACCCCAGATCCCCTGACATTCTGACACACACTCTTGATGGACTGACTCCGGAAGGTGGGGTGGGGCTGTCAGGTTTGGGTCCCGAGGTTGCTGAGCTTTCTTCTCCTTCCTCCAGACCGCCTCCTCTGCTCAGGCCACGATGTCAGTGACGGAGGCCTCGTCACATGCCTGCTGGAGATGGCCTTTGCTGGAAATTGCGGGCTACAGGTGGATGTGCCTGTCCCCAGGGTTGATGGTAAGGAACCTGGGGTCTAGTCTCAGGCCCGGGCTGCCTTCTCTACCCTGCAGACCCCATTTCCAATATATTAAAGAGTGGAGTGCCCTCCAGTCCCCTTTCCCTGAGTCTTCCCTGACTAGCTTTTCTGTGCTGTCTCTCTGACAGCTGAACTGGATGGAACTGGCTGACACCCACCATGTTCCTGACTGCACCCCTCTGAGACTTCCCATCCCTGAGATGTCCATGATGAAACATCCTCAGTCCTGCCGTCCTAGCCCTCATCCTCCCTGATCCCTACCCTACTCTCTGGCTGCATCCCTCTGACCCTCACCCTGGCCCTTCCTGCATTTCCCTGATCCCGCCCCAACTCCCTTGGCCCTTCTTGCATCCCCCTGACTCCCCACATTGCTCTCCCAGTCCTGTCTGTGCTGTTCGCTGAGGAGCCAGGCCTCGTGCTGGAGGTGCAGGAGCCAGACCTGGCCCAGGTGCTGAAGCGTTACCGGGATGCTGGCCTCCATTGCCTGGAGCTGGGCCACACAGGCGAGGCCGGGCCCCACGCCATGGTGAGGAAGTGAGGGAGAGAGCGGTGTGCAGTGGGCAGTCAGAGTGGGGTGGCCGCGGTCCATCCCTCTCCCACTGTGGAGGGGGCCATCCTTTCTCCTAGCCCGTGGGAGATTTGTTCCTCTTCCTAGGTCCGGGTGTCAGTGAACGGGGCTGTGGTTCTGGAGGAGCCTGTTGGGGAGCTGCGAGCCCTCTGGGAGGAGACGAGTTTCCAGCTGGACCGGCTACAGGCAGAGCCTCGCTGTGTGGCAGAGGAGGAACGGGGCCTGAGGGAGCGGATGGGGCCCAGCTATTGCCTGCCCCCCACCTTTCCCAAAGCCTCCGTGCCCCGTGAGCCTGGTGAGGGAGTGTGTGCAGAGGCTCCGCGTCCTGGGGGCACTGAGCCTGGATGCCTGGGCCTGCCCTCAGAAAGGTGTCTGGGGAGTTGGGGTGGGGAAGTGACTTTCTGGCCCAAAGACACTTATTCTCCCCCAAGGTGGTCCCAGCCCCCGAGTCGCCATCTTGCGAGAGGAGGGCAGTAATGGAGACCGGGAGATGGCCGATGCCTTCCACTTAGCTGGGTTTGAGGTGAGCAGGGTAGGGGGCAGCTGGGGGTGATTGTCCAGCCTCAGCTGCGTGTCCTCCCACCCACACTCCCCCTCCCCACCTTCGCAGGTATGGGACGTGACCATGCAGGACCTCTGCTCTGGGGCAATTGGGCTGGACACTTTCCGTGGCGTGGCCTTCGTGGGCGGCTTCAGCTATGCAGATGTCCTGGGCTCTGCCAAAGGTCAGTGTGCAGGCTTCTGCCCACTCCCTTCCCCCACATTCCTGAAGAGGTGCCTTTAGCCCCATCTTCCTGGGCTGGGGATTGGCCTCTCACTCCACCGAGCTACGAGAGAGTGGGCCCATTCGTTCTGGGCCACATGCCAACAGAAGGCTGGTAGTAAATTTTTAATTTTTTCATTGAAAAAAAGTATATATATACACATATGTAATTAAAATATATATTATTAAATATATATTATTTATATATATTATTTATATATTATTAAAATGTATATTATTTATATATTATTAAAATATATATTATTTATATATATTATTTATATATTATTAAAATATATTATTTATATATATTATTTATATATTATTAAAATATGTATATTTTTAAATATATATATATATATATATGTATTTTTTGAGACGGAGTTTCACCCTTGTTGCCCAGGCTGGAGTGCAATGGCGCAATCTTGGCTCACCGCAACCTCCACCTCCTGGGTTCAAGCGATTTTCCTGCCTCATCCTCCCAAGTAGCTGGGATTACAGGCATGCAAAAATACAAAAATTAGCCAGGCGTGCTGGCGGGCGCCTGTAATCCCAGCTACTTGGGAGGCTGAGGCAGGAGAATCGCTTGAACCCAGGAGGCAGAGGTTGTAGTGAGCCGAGATCATGCCACTGTACTCCAGCCTGGGTGACAGAATGAGATTCCATCTCAAAAAAAAAAAAAAAAGAAAGAAGGAAAGGAAGGAAGGAGGGAGGGAGGGAAAAGGAAGAAAGAAAAAAGAAAAGAAACAGAGCAGTTATGCCCCTTCATTCCCAATTCCCTTTTTTGAGGTCCTCCATGTCTCACCCTGACTTCCCTATTCCCTGCTAGGGTGGGCAGCTGCTGTGACCTTTCATCCCAGGGCTGGGGCTGAGCTGAGGCGCTTCCGGAAGCGGCCAGACACCTTCAGCCTGGGCGTGTGTAATGGCTGTCAACTGCTGGCTCTGCTCGGCTGGGTGGGAGGCGACCCCAATGAGGATGCTGCAGAGATGGGCCCTGACTCCCAGCCAGCCCGGCCAGGCCTTCTGCTACGCCACAACCTGTCTGGGCGCTACGAGTCTCGCTGGGCCAGCGTGCGTGTGGGGCCTGGGCCAGCCCTGATGCTGCGAGGGATGGAGGGCGCCGTGCTGCCCGTGTGGAGTGCGCACGGGGAAGGTCAGGCCCAAGGAAGGCTGGGGGAGGGCCCGAGGGTTGGGGGCAAGGGTGGGCATGAAGGACCTTGGCTCTCACTTCCCTCCTCCTTCCATCCCAGGTTACGTAGCATTTTCTTCTCCGGAACTCCAAGCTCAGATTGAGGCCAGGGGCTTGGCTCCACTGCACTGGGCTGATGATGACGGGAACCCCACAGAGCAGTACCCTCTGAATCCCAATGGGTCCCCAGGGGGCGTGGCTGGCATCTGCTCCTGTGATGGCCGCCACCTGGCTGTCATGCCTCACCCTGAGCGGGCCGTTAGGCCTTGGCAGTGGGCATGGCGACCCCCTCCATTTGATACTCTGACCACCTCCCCCTGGCTCCAGCTCTTTATCAATGCCCGAAACTGGACCCTGGAAGGGAGCTGCTGACTGGCCACAGGGGCTCACCTGGGCCCCATGGCTTTTCACCTAAGTGGGTCCTGCCCCCTCCCCCATGACCTTCAGGAGCACCCCATATTATTTCCAAAAATATCTTGGACAGACAAGGACCAAAATGCCAAAATCTCAGCGGACTCGATAATCTGCCTGCTGATGTTCCTTCTGTGGCTGTGTCTATTTTCAGTTCTGCTCTAACATGGCATGCCCTTTCTCAGCCCAGGAAACAGCATGTGGTTCAGAGAAAAGAGCGACAAGGAAAAGTTAGGACTCCTGAGGTCCGAACAGGGGCTTCTGTTGCCCACTTCACAACACCCAGTGATCACCGGTGTGCAATTGCCTCCTTGGCTCTGAGGGATGTTTTGCGCTCCCTTTTCTCATCATTGGGGTTAGCGGGTGCAGACAAATTCAGCAATAGTATGCAGATCAGCCCCTCACCACCTCATTGTTCTCATCTGGAACTGAAACTTTCTGGATTTCTCTTGAAGTGCTACACTGCACTGAATGTAAGGAATTGTTGCTTGTGGAAGTTTCTCAGCGTTTCTGGCTGTCTTAGGGCTGGCCTCAGAACCCAGCATTCCTGTTATTTGCTTCTAAATTAGCAGCTCTCTTTTTTTTTTTTTTTTTGAGGCAGTCTCACTCTGTCACCCAGGCTGGAGTACAATGGCGTGATCTCGGCCCACTGCAACCTCTGCCTCCTGGGTTCAAGCAATTTTCCTGCCTCAGCCTCCCGAGTAGCTGGGAGTACAGGCACACACCACCACACCCAGCTAATTTTTGTATTTTTAGTAGAGATAGGGTTTCACCATGTCTCCCAGGCTGGTCTCAAACTCCTAACCTCAAGTGATTCGCCTGCCTCGGCCTCCCAAAGTGCTGGGATTACAGGTGGGAGCCACTACAGCTGGCCCAGCAGCTCTGTTTCTGATAGAGGTGGTTGGGGCTCTCATCCCTAGATCCTAACCCTTTAGTATGCTGGAATTCTACTCTTCACTTACTGCATTGACTGTTGTTGATTAGTTATTATTGCAAAGCACTGTCACCGGCCTCAGGGAGTTTATGTGTAATAGAATTAAAAATAATAGCTGTGTATAACACTTAGCTCAAGCCACGCATGTGTGAGGCATTTGGTATGTATCTGAATTAATTCTCACTAAAATTCAGCAAAGGACTTGATAGCCCCTCCCCGCCTTTTCAATAAAGGATGAATGAAGGTTGACTGCATTGCCTGGGGTCCACAGATGGTGAGGGGGGCTGGGCGCACCCATACTACATCTGCTTCCCGCCATCCTGCAGTCTTACTTCCTGGAGGCAGTGTGTTGAGACTTTGTGCTGGCAGCTGTCTGTTGCTTCCTTTGCTCACAGGACTGTGGATAGAGGTCCCTTCCTCATGACTGTTCTGTTGTACACCTCAAGTCAGTTGGCTCCCTAGAATGTTCAACATCTTGATAAAAGGAGTTTGCCTGAGAATGGAGACTATAATCCCAGATCCCTGAGGGCTAGGAGAGCTGGGTGGGGGCGCTGAGCACTTCTGTGTGCTCCTGGTAGAGTAGCCACCCTGAGAAAAAACTGATAATAATGAAACAATGTTAAATGATGGCTATGGGGAAAACAACTATTTCAGAGATTTTTCTCATTGCTTTGCAAAGCGACCTACCCTGAGCAGTATGGGACTCCTCCGGATCATTTTTGACATTTGAATGTTCTTTCCTGACCCTTGGAAAGGATATATGTATGTCTTTCAAATTTATAGTATCGAACATACAATTTGGGGGCTGGTACCAAGGGTTAGATATTAAGTTTATTAAGTGCTTGATGCAAAAGTCAAAGGATGGCATGGGAGGTAACCTGGTTGGCTGTGATAAGTAAACTCGTGGATTTTGAAGGGGGAGCAGTTTCTGGTTTGGGTCGCAGTGGCCAAGTAAGACCCACCCTCCTCAGACACTATCAAGACCAAGTCCACTGGCTTTTCATCCGTGTTTTCATCCAGTAACCAAATAACCCTGTCCTTGCTGACCCCCACCCAGCTCCATTCCCACTCACCCACTCCCAAGGGCCCTCTGGTGAACCTTCCAGGCTAGCTCTCTGCTCCCTCCTTGCCTTCATGGAAAACCAGCTATCCTCTGAGAGCCACTTCTGCAGCCCCTCCAAGTGGTGGCTTTTCTTCTCAAACCTCAACCTCACATATCTCATCTTCCCCAGGCTGGGGAGTCGGGGTCCTCGTACCACTGCCAGACTGTTCACCCAGTTCAAAGAAAACCCTGCCCGTTGCAGGCTCATGCCATTCTACTACATCCCTTTCATCCAGTTCTTTGTGTTCTACTGACTTCCCCAGCGCTTCCTTTGGGAGAAGGTGCCAATTCTTCAATAGTTGATTCCTCTCTAGAAATACAATGTTCCTGCCAGGTGCGGTGGCTCATGCCTGTAATTCCAACACTTTGGGAGGCCAAGGCTGGTAGATCACCTGAGTTTGAGACCAGCCTGGCCAACATGGTGAACCCCGTCTCTACTAAAAATACAAAAATTAGCTGGGTGTGGTGGTGTGTGCCAATAATCCCAGCTTCTCGGGAGGCTGAGGCAGAAGAATCGCTTGAACCCAGGAGGCGGAGGTTGCAGTGAGCCGAGATCACGCCACTGCACTTCAGCCTGGGCAACAGAGTCTGTCCCAAAAAAAAAAAAAAAAAGAAAAAGAAAGAAAGAAATAGAATGTTCCAGGGCCGGGCGTGGTGGCTCACACCTGTAATCCCAGCACTTTGGGAGGCCGAGGTGGGCAGATCATGAGGTCAGGAGATCGAGACCATCTTGGCTAACACAGTGAAACCCCGTCTCTACTAAAAGTACAAAAAAAATTAGCCAGGCGAGGTGGCGGGCGCCTGTAGTCCCAGCTACTCGGGAGGCTGAGGCAGGAGAATGGCGTGAACCCGGGAGGCGGAGCTTGCAGTGAGCGGACGTTGCGCCACTGCACTCCAGCCTGGGCGACAGAGTGAGACTGTGTCTCAAAAAAAAAAAAAAGAAATAGAATGTTCCAGTATTTTAGCTGGGGTTGTGGCTGCTGAAAATAAAGATGACATCTCCCAGCTTCCCTCCCAGTTATGATTAAATTGTGGCCAATGGTAGAGAAAATGATGTATACAATTTGCAAGTGTTCTTACAAGAAGGGTACATTTTCCCCTTTATCCATTCTTGCTTCCTATTGTTTGGAATGCAGACACGACAGCTGGAAGTTCAGTAGCCATACTGAAGTAGCTTTGGGAATTGGTACCATGCAGAGCAACAAGATAAGAGGAAGGCTCTTCCTCTTATCTACTTGGGAGGCTAAGGTGGGAGGATCACTTGAGCCCAGGTGGTTGAGGCTGCAGTGAACTGTGATCATACCACTGCACTCCAGCCTGGGCAACAGAGCCAGATCCTGTCTCAAAAAAGAAAAAAAGATCAAAGGAGACTGGTTCTTCCAACACTGAGGAGTGCCATGAGGACAAGATAACACTGAATGTCTTGAGTGTAGGAAATGAACTTGTGTCTTGGTTTTTGCTTTTGTTTTTCATTGAGACAGAGTCTCTCGCTCTGTCTCCCGGGCTGGAATACTGGAGTACAGTGGTGTGATCTCCGCTTGCTGCAACCTCTGCCTCCTGGGTTTAAGCGATCCTCCCACCCCAGCCTTCTGAGTAGCTGGGATTACAGGCACGTGCCACCATGCCCAGCTAATTTTTGTATTTTTAGTAGAGACGGGGTTTCGCCATGTTGGCCAGGCTGTTCTTGAACTCCTGACCTGAAGTGATCTGCCTGCCTCCATCTCCCACAGTGCTGGGATTATAGGCATAAACCAAAGCGCCAGCCTATCTTGTTTAAGCACTATTAATTTTGGTGTTTTCCATCCCTTGTAACTAAACCTTACCCTATTCAACCACTCCTAACTCGCTCTCATTCTTTAAGGGTATTAGGCCCTGGTTCCCTGTCTTGTGCTTCACTTCAGCCCCTTCTGTTATCCTGTATCCATGTCAGTGACCATCCAACACTCTGAACTTTTCTACAGTGACCTTCATTCCACCTCAGCTAACTATCCCACTTGGATTTTATCACCCAGGATCGGCTCTATCTCCAAACTTATTTATTCAGGCGTCCTGTTTCCAACCATAAGGCTCTATCTCCAAACTTATTTATGCAGGTGTCCTGTTTCCTTCCAACTTTTTTTCTTTTTGAGATGGAGTCTCACTCTGTCGCCCAGACTGGAGGGCAGTGGTGCGATCTCAGCTCACTGCAACCTCCACCTCCTGGGTTCAAGCGATTCTCCTGCCTCAGCCTCCCAAGTAGCTGGGATTACAGGCATGTGCCACCATACCTGGCTAGTTTTTGTATTTTTAGTAGAGATGGGGTTTCACCATGTTGGCCAGGATGGTCTCAAACTCCTGACCTCAAGTGATCTACCCACCTTGGCCTCCCAAAGTGCTGGGATGACAGGCATAAGCCACCATGCCTGGCCCTTTCCTTCCATCTTTCTTCTTTATCCACAATACTCTGAGATTTCAAAGTAATTAGGACCTCCAGTGCAATAATTACTTTACCCCAATCCATTGCTCCTTTTCTTCCCTCCTTATCCAGCTTCCAGTAACAGCCTTTCCAAAACCCCTTCACTTGAGCTATGACCTTTTCATCATACCCATTTGGCAAACTCCCAACCTACCTGCTTTCTCTGAGAAAGCCAGACAGAACAGGTTCTCTCATAAGTTCATCATTAACCACGTATGGGGAAACAGGGAATGGGAAGGAAAAATGGAGATGAAAGGTTAATAAGAAAGTGCCCAAGTGGGCCTTTGATGATACAATGTGCCATGAACCCAGGGTCATGATGACCTTAGTTCTCTAAACCTGAGGTCTAAAAGCAAAAACAATTTACAACAACATACACACCTAGTGATCAAGTCCTTCCTTTGGGTTTCAGCTGGGTCAATAGCGCTGCTCAAATCCTTTGTGAGAGGTTATTTCAGTAGCACCACATACCTCCCTTTTCAGCCCAAGTCTCTGTTGTACTTTATTTTTCACCATTGCAATCAATGAACTGTGAACTGTTTTTGTTTAGAGATGGAGTCTACCTCTGTTGCCCAGGCTGTAGTGCACTAGCGTGATCTCAGCTCACCACAACCTCCACCTCCCGGGTTCAAGCAATTCTCCTGCCTCAGCCTCCCGAGTAGCTGGGACTACAGACACGTGCCACCATGTCTGGCTAATTTTTATATTTTTATTTATTTTATTTTATTTTATTATTTTTGAGAGGGAGTCTCTGTCGCCCAAGCTGGAGTGCAGTGGCGCGATAATTTTTATATTTTTAGTAGAGACAGTTTCGCCATGTTGATCAGGATGGTCTTGAACTCCTGACCTCTTGATCTGCCCGCCTCGGCCTCCCAAAGTGCTGGGATTACGGGCGTGAGCTACTGTGCCCGGCCTGAATTGTTTCTTTGATCAAAGATCTGTCTCCCTGTTAGTGTGTAAGTTCCATGGATAGGAGACCCATTTTTGCTCCCCACCGTGTCCTAATACCTAGCACAGTGCCCGGCACCTAGTAGGTGCTCAATAAATATATGCTGAACAAATTAATACATATGAATGTTAAAATTAGTAAGTATTGACATACATTTTTTTCTCTTAATACAAAAGTGAATTAGTGGATTGGGTTCATGGGTGCTTGGACTTTGTACACCCTCTCAAGCATTTCCCCTTTTTACCTCATTTGTCCAGTTAAAGTCACGAGTTCTTGTTATCAGGTCAAATGAAGGGGACTGGCCCTGTGTAAGTGGAAAGACAGGGAGAACCAGTAAGTCTCTTTTCTTTCTTGAGATGGAGTCTCACTCAGCTGCCCAGGGTGGAATGCAGTGGCGCGATCTAGGCTCACTGCAACCTCCGTCCCTCAGGTTCAAGCAATTCTCCTGCCTCAGCCTCCCAAGTAGCTGGGACTACAGGCGCAGGCCACCACGCCTGGCAAATTTTTGTATTTTTAGTAGAGACGGGGTTTCACCATGTTGGCCAGGATGGTTTCCATCTCTTGACCTTGTGATCCACCCGCCTCGGCCTCCCAAAGTGCTGAGATTACAGGTGTGAGCCACCGGGCCCGGCCTCTTTTCTTGCTTGGTTTAACATTTTTTCTTTTCTTTTTTTTTTTTCCCGCTTAGTTTAACATTTGCCTGGCAGCCAACAGGGCCCTTCAGTTGCACAGAAAAAGACACATCACTGAACTAAGCACACATTACTGTCATCCTCAGTTGCTAGAAGGAGCACTACTGGCTGGGGAGGCAGCAGGCAGGGGCTAAGCACAGAAAAGGAGTGTGAGTGAGAGCATCCAGATGGGACCACCTGGTAGGGGCCATCTGTTTTAGAGAGGCTTCCCGCCAGGGCACCCTCTGCTCTCCAACAGGCCAGCCCACCAAGGGACTTCGTTCTGAACTGTGTCTGGGACACTGCTCAAACTAGAACATAGATAATGGAGAAAGACTGGAAAGAAGAGGGGTGGGCATCAGTCAGTGGTGAGCCTGGTGAAGGAATGTCTCCCACGGCAGCTGGGTGGTCAGTATCCTGGGGCCTGGCTAGCAGTGTGCTCCCAGCACCTGCTGTATGTAAGACCCTGTGGTGGTGGAAACCAAACAAACCTTCTGTCACTGGACACTTGGGGGTGGCAAACAGCCAGATGGTAGAGACCGGAGGCCTGCTGCAGTGGAGCCTGGGTCTTGGCATCTTGTGGGGCTTCAGGAAACCTTTCCGTGTGAGCAGCCCACTAGGAATGCCTGCGACATTGGGCCATCCTCCCCCAAGCAGGAAGGGCTTTGTGCAGCTCCCTCTGCCTGGTCAGGCTGGAGGGGCAGCCTGCGACTACAGAATGAGACAGAACACTGTGAAACAGCCCTGCCCATACTGTCACTCAGGGAACAACATTGTCAAGGGCCTCCTCCTGAGGGACACACATGAGGGAGATAGACTTGGAACAAGTGATTTCAATCCAGTGACTTTTAGGGGAAGCTCAGGGTGCCGTGGAGCTCATAGCAGGGGATGTGGCCCAGACTTTTGGGATCAGGGAAGGATTCTCGGAGTGAGCTGAGACCTGAAGGATGAGTAGCAGTTTGTTACATGAAGGTGAGTGGCACTCTAGAAAAACAACAATATTTGCAAAGCCTCAGAGGCAAGAGACATGGTAAAGAGCTAAACAAAGGTGAGTGAGTCTGTCTGGAACATCAAGTATAATATAACTGGGAAACAGGACAGGCAAAATCGAAGGCCTAACAGAACAGGAATCTGGACTTGATTCTAAGAGCAACGGAAGCCATTTGGAGGGGTTTATACAGCAGATAGATAGACATGAGGGGGTCTGCATTTTTGAGAAATCACTCTGAGAGGAGGGAGGCAGGAGAGGACATGGGAGTCCACAGAGAAAGCTACACAGTCTCCAGGCAGAAACAGTGCTAGCTCGGACTACCGTAGTGGCAGTGGAAATGGCGAGAAGTGGAAGGATTCCAGGGCTATTAGGAGATAGAATCACCATGAATGGCCAGGTGCGGTGGCTCACGCCTGTAATCCCAGCACTTTGGGAGGCTGAGGCGGGCAGATCACAAGGTCAGGAGTTCGAGACGAGCCCGGCTAACATGGCGAAACTCCATCTCTACTAAAAATATAAAAATTAGCGGGGTGTGGTGGTGCACGTCTGTAATCCCAGCTGCTCAGGAGGCTGAGGCAGGAGAATTGCTTGAACCTAGGAGCCAGAGGTTGCAGTGAGCTGAGATCACACCACTGCACTCCAGCTTGGGCCACAGAGCGAGACTCTGTCTCAGGGGTGGGGGTGGGGGGAGGAATCACCACGAACTGGGTGTTGGGGAAGAGGGGTGGGGAGAGAGGAGCCAGTGATGATGCCCATGCTTCTTGCTTGAACCACTGGGTAGATAGTGTCATTACCTGTGATAGGGACATGTCTGGGAGGAAGATGATGTGCTTTGCTTACGATGTGTTCAGTTTGAAATGTCAATGAGACATGTAGGTGGAGGCATCCAGGAGGTGGTCAGAAGAGATCTGGGATGGAGATGAATATTTGGGAAGCACTGGTATGTGGATGGGTAAGGTTATCTAGGGGGAGTGTGCAGGGCCTGGTAGCCCAACATTGAAGGGGTTGACAGAAAAAGAGGAAGCTGAGAAGGAATGGCCACGACTAACCCAACAGTCTAACCAGTTGAGCGGCTTCCCACTGCCCGGCGATCCAAGGCAACAAGAGAGATTAGGAAGCAGGCCTGTTCACCACAACTCCTCTCCCCTAGATCATTGCCAAACGCAGTACAACGGCCCTCCCCACTCCCAAACATCTCACCTGTGGAAAGTTACAGGGAAGTGGCCTTGGCTAAATCAAGCAGATGGAAAGAGCTAAATTAGGCTGGGTACAGTGGCTCAGGCCTGTAATCCCAGCACTTTGGGAGGCCGAGGAAGGAGGTCGGGAGTTTGAAACCAGCCTGACCAACATGGAGAAACCTCGTCTCTACTAAAAACACAAAATTATCCGGGCATGGTGGCACATGCTTGTAATCCCAGCTACTCAGAAAGGCTGAGGCAGGAGAATCACTTGAACCCAGGAGGCAGAGGTTGTGGTGAGCCGAGATGGAGCCATTGCATTCCAGCCTGAGCAACAAGAGTGAAAAAAAAAAGAAAAAAGCTCAATTATGTGTCTCAAAAAAAAAAAAAAAGAAAGAAAAGAGCTAAATTATGTGGTGCTTTGGAAGCTGGGACCACATGGACTCTTAAGAGGGATGGCACCTTCTAAGAGGTTCCAAGGGCGGAAACAAGGGGCAGTTCCACTGGGTTTCAGACACAGAGATCCCAGCCTGGATTGTCGTGGAGGATGAAGCTGCTCCATCTTGGATGCTGATCCGCCATGTTGTCCTCTGGTTAACCCCTGTTCTGGAATGCCTCCTCTAAGATTGCCACTTTATCTACTGTGACCTTAAATCCTGCTCTTAGGTAGATTCACATAGCATTCTGCGCCTTTCCCTGAGGGGTTGACTTCAGTGGTGCCACACATTTCTACTGAGGCATGTGTACCTTTTGCATCAGGTATATCAGCCCTGGGACTCGGGGATAACTGACTGACGGCTGCCTGGCTTCTGTTTCTAAGTTGCTATTAAATGTTTCTTTCTGAGAAACTGGATACATCAATCAGTCTCCCTCTTTTTTTTTTTTTTTTCTTTTTTGAGATGGAGTCTTGCTCTGTCACCCAGGTTGGAGTGTAGTGGTGGCACTCTCTCAGCTCACTGCCACCTCTGCCTCCTGGGTTCAAGTGATTCTTCTGCCTCCCGAGTAGCTGGGACTACAGGAGCACACCACCACACCTGGCTACTTTTGTATTTTTAGTAGAGATGGAGTTTCACCATGTTGGCCAGGCTGGTCTTGAACTCCTGACTTCAGGTGATCTGCCAGCCTTGGCCTCCCAAAGTGCTGGGATTACAGGCGTGAGCCACCGTCTCTTTCTTCAGCCTCTCAGCTCCCTTGGCCTTTGGGTAGGTTTGCATAGACTGCTTGTGGATGTGGAAAGTCCTCCTTCCCTTGGTGCCTGTTGTGCCTCTGTCTCCGCAGGAGGCCCATAGGATTCTGAAGAGCTGTGATGGGAGCCCTGCCTCGGCTCTCCATCAGACTCAGGACAGGCCACCAGGGCTGCTATCCGTCACCACACACCACCTCTCCCGTTTGACAGTGTCCAAATTGCCTCCTCTTCCCCACTTCTGGAATATGTGTTGAGAGACAGCAGTGAGATGCAGGAGGGCGTGTGTCTGTGGAGAAGTCAAAACTAAAGGTTGCCAGAATCTAGTTGGAAAAATACGTCCCTTGTTCCTGGTTGGGAGAGCAGTGGGGCCATGTGCTGTTAGCTGGCTCCAGGCACAGGGTCCTTATGGAGAAATGTACAGAGCACTGGCATATGGATGGTGGTCCCCGCTGCACTGGCACTGATGATCTTATGCTGAAAAGGGATGCATGACAGAATCAGAGGAATTGGACTCCATTGTAGGGAACTAGGGGACAGAGGATAAAGTGCCCAATCTCGTGACTTAGCAGCAGCAAAGAAGAGAGGCCCTCTTTCCTCTTTGCCCTACTTACAACCCAAACCCTCCAACTCTGTCTTTCTGTCATTGGTGTCTCCATTCTTTTTTTTTTTTTTTTTTTTTTTTTTTTTTTTTTTGAGGCAAAGTCTTGTTTGGTTGCCCAGGCTGGAGTGCAGTGGCACGATCTCAGCTCACTGCAACCTCCGCCTCCCGGGTTCAAGTGATTCTCCTGTCTCAGCCTCTTGAGTAGCTGGGATTACAGGTGTGCGCCACCACACCTGGCTCATTTTTGTATTTTTAGTAGAGACGGGGTTTCACCATATTCGTCTTGAACTCCCGACCTGGTGATCTGCCTGCCTCAGCCTCCCAAAGTGCTGGGATTACAGGCGTGAGCCACCCGGCTGGTGTCTCCATTCTTCGTGACCAGGCTTCCATCTTGGAACCTGCTCTACATTTTTCCCCTCCACCTTGTGCATTGTCCCATATTATTGTTTTCCTTCTGCATTGCTCGTCCTGGCTTCATCTCTCCCTCTCCTAACTGTAACAGCTTAGCACAGACTCTCATCCCTCCACACACACTATACAAGTCTGGGGCTGACCACCCAGAGTTAGTGTCAGATCCCTGAAGTAAAGGTCTGAGTCTTCCACAAGACTCCCCTCATTTCAGACACTAGTCACAAATCTCAGGCGTCCCCAAGTCAGCCACACTTTGCCTGACTGGCTTTATGTTCAGAAGTTCCCACAATCCCCACAGGCTCAATAATTCACCAGAAGGACTCACAGAACTCAGAGAAGCACTATACTTATGATTGTGGCATTATAGTTTTATTATAAAGAATATGCATTGGTGTCCAGGCACGGTGGCTCACGCCTGTAATCCCAGCATTTTGACAGGCCGAGGCAAGCAGGTCACCTGAGGTCAGGAGTTCAAGACCAGCTTGGACAACATGGCAAAACCCCATCTCTACTAAAAATACAAAAATTAGGCTGGGCGCGGTGGCTCACGCCTGTAATCCCAGCACTTTGGGAGGCCGAGGAGGGCGGATCACCTGAGGTCAGGAGTTCAAGACCAGCCTGACCAAGATGGTGAAACCCCGTCTCTACTAAAAATACAAAATTAGCCAGGCGTGGTGGTGCATGCCTGTAATCCCAGCTACTCAGGAGGCTGAGGCAGGAGAATTGCTTGAATCTGGGAGGCGGAGGTTGCGCTGAACCGAGATTGCACCATTGCACTTCAGCCTGGGCAACAATAGCGAAACTCCGTCTCAAAAACAAAAACAAAAAAAAACAAATAAAAATACAAAAATTAGCCGGACATGAGATTGTGTCACTGCACTCCAGCCTGGGCGACAGAGTGAGACTCACAAAAAAAAAAAAAAAAAAAAAAAAAGGCCGGGCATGGTGGCTCACGCCTATAATCCCAGCACTTTGGGAGGCCGAGGCGGGCAGATCACGAGGTCAGGAGATCAAGACCATCCTGGCTAACACGGTGAAACCCCATCTGTACTGAAAATACAAAAAATTAGCCAGGCGTGGTGGCGGGTGCCTGTAGTCCCAGCTACTCTGAAGGCTGAGGCAGGAGAATGGCGTGAATCCAGGATGTGGAGCCTGCAGTGAGCAGAGATCGTGCCGCTGCACTCCAGCCTGGGTGACAGAGCGAGACTCCGTCTCAACAACAACAACAAAAAAGAATATGCATAGGGAAGGTTGGAACAGGTCCCAGAATCTGAGCTCCTGTGGGGACTGCTGAGGAGTCAGGGCACAGAGCCTACTGGCACATCAATGTGTTCACCAACCAGGAAGCCTCACTGAACTTCAGTGTCCAGAATTCCTATTGGGGTTTTATTGGGCTGATATCAACTGGGCCAAAGCTCCAACCCTCTAATCACATGGTTGATCTTTCTGGTGTGGCTCACCCCCATCCTGATTCATGTCCTTAGCATAACCTATCTAGAGGCCCACCATGAGTCACCTCATTAGTATAAACCATTAGGGCCTATCAAGAATAACAACTCCAATAATGGGAAATTCCACAGATTTTGAGTTTTTCAGGAACCAGGCATAAAGGGCAATTAAGTTTTTTGTTTGTTTGTTTGTTTGTTTTGAGACAGAGTCTCCCTCTGTAGCCCAGGCTGGAGTGCAGTGGCTCAATCTCAGCTCACTGCAACCTCTGCCTCCCGGGTCCCAGTTCAAACAATTCTCCTGCCTCAGCCTCCCGAGTAGCTGGAATTACAGGCATGTGCCACCATGCCCAGCTAATTTTTGTATTTTTGGTAGAGATGAGGTTTCACCATGTTGGCCAAGCTGATCTTGAACTCCTGACCTCGTGATCCATCCGCCTTGGCCTCCCAAAGTGCTGGGATTACAGGCTTGAGCCACCGTGCCTGGCCTTTTTGTTTTTGCTTTTGAGACAAAGTCTTACTCTATCGCCCAGGCTGGAGTGCAGTGGCACCATCTGGGCTCACTGCAACCTCCCCCTCCCGGATTCAAGTGATTCTCCTGCCTCAGCCTCCTTAGTAGCTAGGATTACAGGCACCCACCAGTGCGCCCGGCTAAGTTTTGTATTTTTAGTAGAGACGGGGTTTCACCATGTTGGCCAGCCTGGTCTTGAACCCCTGACCTCAGGTGATCCACCCGCCTCTGCCTCCCAAAGTGCTGGGATTACAGGCGTGAGCCACTACGCCTGCTCTTTCATTTTTATTTTTATTTTTATTTTTTTTAAGAGATGGAGTCTTGGCCAGGCGTGGTGGCTCACGCTTGTAATCTCAGCACTTTGGGAGGCTGAGGCGGGCGAATCACCTGAGGTTGGGAGTTCGAGATCAGCCTGACCAACATGGAGAAACCCCATCTCTACTAAAACTAAAAAAAAATTAGCTGGGCATGGTGGTGCATGCCTGTAATTCCAGGTACTCAGGAGGCTGAGGCAGGAGAATCACTTGAACTTGGGAGGCGGAGGTTGTGGTGAGCCGAGATCGTGCCATTGCACTCCAGCCTGGGCAACAAGAGCGAAACTCCGTCTCAAAAAAAAAGAGAAAAAAAGAGATGGAGTCTTGTTCTGTCATCCAGGCTGGAGTGTAGTGGTGTAATCATAGTTCACTGCAACCTCAAACTCCTGGACTCAAGCAATCCTCCTGCTTCAGCTTCCCTGGGACTACAGGTGTGCATACCACCATGCCCAGCTAATTATTTAAATTTTTGGTTGAGATGGGGTCTGGCTACATTGCCCAGGCTGGTCTCGAATTCCTGGGCTCAAGTGATCGTCCCACCTTAACCTCCCAAAGTGTTGGGATTACAGGCTGAGCCACTGCGCCTGGCCCAGTCAAGTTCTTTATTGTACAACATCTTTTAAAAGGGCCTAACTGGTAAATAACCTATCTCTTAACTGCCATCCAATAAATACAGGCCAGGCCCTGTACAAGTCAGTGGAAAGTTGATGGTGAAAAGACAGACATGGACCCCTCTCTCCTGGTGCTTAGTGTGTTACACAGTGAGGCGCCTGCAGTGGTGACAGGAGCATAGCAGCACAGCAGGAGCCAGCAGTTAATCCACAAATGTTTTCTGGAGATCTGAGGATGAGCTAGCTAGGGAAGAAGGGGGAAAGAAAGTTCTAGGCAGAGGGCATCACATGTGCAAATGCCCAGAGGCATGAAAGAGGTTGACTCAGTCAAGGGATTGAAGAAAGTTCAGTGTCTATAAGGAGAAACAGACTATAAGGGGAAAATGGCAGGGCGCAGTGGCTCACACCTGTAATCCCAGCACTTTGGGAGGCAGAGGCGGGTGGATCACCTGAGGTCAGGGGTTCAAGACCAGGCTGGCCAACATGGTGAAACCCCATCTCTACTAAAAATACAAAAATTAGCCAGGAGTGGTGGCACATGCCAGTAATCCCAGCTACTCGGGAGGCTGAGGCAGCAAAATCACTTGAACCCGGGAGGTGGAGGTTGCAGTGAGCCAAGATCATGCCACTGCACTCCAGCCTGGGCGACAGAGCGAGACTCCGTCTCAAAACATAAAAAAAAAAGACTATAAGGGGAAAATGATGGGATATGGGGCTGAAAAGTTGCAGGGAAAGGACTGACAGGTATAGAATTGCTCCAAACACGAGGACACACTGGTCTTCCTCAGACACTAACTTCGTTATAGCAGGCCTTTGTGTATTGTGTATCTACTGTGGCTACCACTGATTGCCAGACAATCCTAAGCATCTCCCCAAGGCAGGTTTCTCAGCCGGGGACTAAGCTGGGTCACAAACTAGATCTCATTACAGGATATGAACTGTAGCACGCCCTAGCTCTTCCTGTTCAGGCTGAAGGCCCAGAAAGAAGGGCCATGTTTTACCCATTTTTAGACCCTCTCCTAAAGCCTAGTACAGGGCTAAATACACAAAATACTTCATAGCTGGGTTTCTTAGTCTTTAGTCAATGAGCTTGGATAAAAATTTCATCTTTCTTTTTCCTTTTTTTTTTTTTGAGACGGAGTTTAGCTCTTGTCGCCCAGGCTATGATATTTTGAGACAGGGTCTCCCTCTGTCACCCAGGCTAGAGTGCAGTGGCATCTCGGCTCACCGCAGCCTCAACCTCCCGGCTCAAGCCATCCTCCCACCTCAGCCTCCCAAGTAGCTGATACTACAGGTGTGTACCACCACTCCTGGCTCTTTTTTTTTTTTTTTTTTTTGAGACAGGGTCTCCCTCTGTCACACAGGCTGGAGTGCAGTGGCATGATGTCGACTCACTGCAGCCTCAAGCTCCCAGGCTGAAGCAATCCTCCCGCCTCAGCCTCCCCAGTAGCTGGGAGGTGCGAGTCACTATGCCCAGCTAATTTTTGTATTTTTTTGGTAGAGTTGGTGTTCTGCCATGTTGCGCAGCCTAGTCTCGAACTTCTGGGCTCAAGCAGTCCTCCCTCCTGGGCCTCCTACGGTGTTAGGATCACAGGGGTGAGCCACTGCGTACAGCCATGTTTTCAGTAACCTTTTAACTGAAATTTAGCATTTCCTTTCACTGTGAATTTAGGTAACAAACCACAGTAGTATTAGCAGTATCTGTGGTTTCATCTCAATAGCAGTTACAGATATGCTTACTTTAGAATGGCTGTGGATATCTTGAACCATAATTTGTATGCATTGCTAGTTTTTTATTACATTTATTAGAGACTGCTGCTAGATCTAGTTAATATGATAACAAAGAAGTAGACTTGTACTCTATCAAATATCTGGGTTTAATTTTCTTTTTTATTTTTTGAGAAACAGTCTGGCTCTGTTGACCAGGCTGGAGTGCAATGGCGTGATCTTGGCTCATTACAACCTCTGCCTCCCAGGCTCAAGTCATCCTCCCACCTTGGCCTCCCAAGTAGCTGGCACTACAGGCATATGCCACCATGCCTGGCTAATTTTTTTTTTTTTTTTTGGTAATAGAGACAGAGTCTCACTTTGTTTTCCAGGCTGGTCTCAAACTCCTGAGCTCAAGCAATCTGCCCACCTAGGCCTCTCAAAGTGCTAGGATTACAGGCGTGAGCCACCGCACCTGGCCCATGCCTGTAATCTCTTTGAGAGTCCAAGGTGGGAGGATGGCTTAAGCCCAGGAGGTTGAGGCTGCAGTGAGCTGTTATCATGCCACTGCACTCCAGCCTGGGTGACAGAATAAGACCCTGTCTCAAAAACACAGAAAAAATAAAAATAATAACATTACACCGAATAGGGGATCATGGGCTTCACAAAACTGCCAAAGCAGTCCACAGTAGAAAAAAGGACGAAAACCCCTGCTTAATAGAAATATTCATTGTCCTAACTCAAAGGAATGCTTGACTTTGGGTGTGGTGTTGTCTCTCTGATCTGAGTCCATCTCTTGGTGCCCTAAAGGGGAGAGTCTCTGGGACTCTTGTCCCCATAGCAAACAACTGCATCAACTGCATGCAGGGCATTGGATAAGGGAATGTCCCAGGTGTAGAGAATCAATCAGTTGCAGGCCTACTTGCAACCAGTGGGCTGACAGCGAGCCATACCCTCACATTCGCCTGAGAAAAGTGGCTGCTGGCCTTCTCTCTACTGAGATTTGTCCCCTGATACTTATCATCCTAGCCACAGCCAGCTGGACCAGAGATCTCCCTTGTGTTTGGGTGGTGGCCTGAGGAGTGGCCAGGCAGGAGAGCCGGCCAAATAGGTACTTTCAGATTGAATAACAACTAATCGACCCAGTTGGATCCTGTCCCTTGGGAAGTTGGAATTTGAACACTTGAGGGAGTCGACAGGTGGCAGGGCCAGCAGAATTGACAGGCACACAAAAAAAAAGGTGAAGGGAGAAGGGGAAGTGGAGCCAAGCGTGGGGATTTGCCAAGTGAGGGTGGCCTTCCACCCCATTCATTCAGAGGAGGTCTGGCTGAGCAGCCCCCAAGAGCCCACAGAATTGTGGAGGGCCAGGGGTCCCCAGCTGCGTAGGGCTCATGGGAGAACATGAGACAGGCCAGACACCCAAAATGAGGAAGTTGGGGGGGCTTTTTTCTCAGCCTTCCTGACCTGGCGTGACCTCCTCTGGGCCCATGTAACAGGCCTCCACACCCCCTTATGCCTGGTGCAGGCACCCTGTTAACTTCTATGTCCCTGTAGGTCCCTTTCCAAGGACTCTACCTGCTTGACTGCTCCCAAAGCAGCCAGAGCCAGTATTGCCCCTGGTGGGGAATGGAGCTGGAGAGCAGGCTGGCAGCAAGGAGGAGAGAGGGACAGAGAGGTCTGTCACTCATTATCCCAGAGAAGCATCATGGGGTGGACTCCTCTGACCTGGCTCCTTTTGTTTCCCATGGCTGGGGTCCTTCTTTCCCTCTAGAGCCTGTAACGCCCCCGCTCTGTCAAATTCCTCATACAGCAAACTTATTCTACTCTCTTTACCCAGAAATAGGTCAGACTCAACTACATCCATATCTGATTTCTTCCTTTGTTTTTTTTTTTTTTTGTATGTTTAGTAGAGACAGGGTTTGACCATGTTGGCCAGGCTGGTCTAGAACTCCTGATCTCAGGTGATCCACCCACCTGGGCCTCCCAAAGTGCTGGGATTACAGGTGTGAGCCACGGCGCCTGGCCCCCCAACAGCATTTTAGAGATGAGGAAATGAGACTCAGAGAGGAGTCTGATGGCTATAGTAAGAAATGAGGAGTCAAGCTCCTTAGTGTGCGCTACAAAAACCCTGCACACCTGACTGTGTTTGCAGCTCCCTGCCACCCATTCCCATCCTACCCTCCCTTGCCAAACAGATACACTTGCTTTCTCCAAAATATGCCCTCTCATCTCCAAGTTTTTGCTCCTGATGTTCCCCCAGCTAGAATACCCCTAGGATGTCCTACTGAATTCTGAGTCAAACTTTAAGACTCAAAGTATGGGCCAGGCATGGTGGCGCATGCCTATAATCCCATCACTTTGGGAGGCCAAGGCAGGAGGATCACTTGAGACCAGAAGTCCGAGACCAGCCTGGGCAACACAGTGAGACTCCATCCCTAAAATAAAACACACACACACACACAAAAATTACCGGAGCATGGTGGTGCATGCCTGTAGTCCCAGCTACTCAGGAGGCTGAGGCAGGAGGATGGCTTGAGCCCACAAGGTTGAGGCTGCAGTGAGCTACGACTGCACCACTACAGTCTAGTCTTGGCAACAGTGAGACCGCCTCTCAAAAAAAAAAACAAAAAAAGACTCAAAGTGTGCTCCACTGTTCCTTCAGTGAGGCATCGGGGGCTGTGTCCTAAATGTCTTTGTATCTCCAGCCCTTCACATTAGGGCCTGGCAAGGTAAGAGACCAATAAATATGTACCCTTTGGCTTCATTTCACTAAGTCATTAGGGTCCAGAGGTATGGTCAGCACTTGGAACCCTGTGGAATGGCCTCAAGATCAGAGTCCTCTTGCCCAATTCTTGGCTGGGAAGTAGGTGACATCTAGAATCCATGAGGGTATGGGTGATCTCCTGGGTTCCAGACATTTGCATTGAGTTTATTCAATCACTTAACAATATATATTAGGTCTGGGCTGGGCACGCTGGCTCACGCCTGTAATAATCCCAGCACTTTGGGAGGCCAAGGCAGGCGGATCATCTGAGGTCGGAAGTTCGAGACTCACCTGACCAACATGGAGAAACTCCATCTCTACTAAAAATACAAAATTAGCTGGGTGTGGTGGTGCATGCCTGTAATCCAGCTACTTGGGAGGTTGGGGCAGGAGAACAGCTTGAACCCAGGAGGCGGAGGTTGCAGTGAGCCAAGATCATGCCATTGCACTCCAGCCTGGGCAACAAGAGTGAAACTCCATCTCAAAAACAAAACAAAACAAAAAAACCCAATATATATCAGGTCTGTTATGCTCTAAACACCGTGCCGGGTGCTGAGGATCAAAGATGAATAGAGAAATGAACTGAAATGATATAGTGAAGTTAAAACTTAAAGAACACAACAAATCTGTAAAAGACAAACAAAAGAGGGTTTAATCTGTGCTTCTGTCCAGGTGTGTGGAGCTGGGGGTGGGGTTGCACCTGCCCGGGAGCATTCCCAAGGCAAATATTTGAGAGGAATTAGATTTCTAATACCCAGGTTGGCTCTCACTTTCAGGAAGATGTGAGACCTGAATCCTAACCTGGACGCATTGTTCCCCTAATTCCCAGCAGCAGATCTATGAATTAGCGGTCTGGGTGGCAGCCCATTCTTCTTTCAGAGGCCCAGAACACCGTGAAACTATGCTTTCCTGACTCAAGAGACCCTACCTAGACGTGGGCCCCTTTGACGAGCACCTGCCCCTCAGGAGGGTCTCAGGCGACCTTCTTGGAAGGTGTGACCACTTGAAAAGGACGAGGAGGCCAGGCGCTGTGGCTCTCGCCTGTAATTCCAGCACTTAGGGAGCCGAGGCGGGAGGATCGCTTGAGTCCAGGAGTTTGAGGCCAGCCTGGGCAAGATTGGGAGACACTCCCCACCCCGCCCCATTTCTACAAGTAATTAAAAATTTAGCCGGGCGTGGTGGCGGGAGCAGGAGCCACTCAAGAGGCTGAGGCAGGAGTATCACTTGAGTCCTGGAGGTGGAGACTGCAGTGAGCGGTGATCGCGCCACTGCATTACAGCCTGGGCGACACAGCGAGACCTGTCAATCAATCAATCAATCAATCAATCAAGAGGAGGCTGGCGGGAGCATGCTCGTGACCACCGGGGGCGACATAGACCCTAACCCTAAGTCCAACCCCAAGGCAGACCCCACCGTCCCGCCAGGCGCACTCCTAAGAGCGCGGCTTCCGGAGCAAAGCCGCTGACCCCCGCCCCCAGGGTCTTGGCGCCGATTGGCCAACGAGAGCGCAGGGCGGAGCCAAATCTTAAAGGATCCGGGAGCTAAGCCAGACCCGGGTGGCGGTGGCAGCTGCGAAACCCAGGGAGCCGATGCCACGTGACCCAATGTGGACTTCTTTTAAACCTTTCTAATGCCCATAACCCAGCCTCAGACCCATGGAGCCCACGAGAGACTGCCCGCTGTTCGGGGGCGCCTTTTCCGCCATCCTCCCCATGGGGGCCATTGACGTAAGGTGAGAAGGCCGGGGCGCCCAGGGGCGGCTGACTGGGTGGGTTGTGGGAAGAGACCGGGGTCAACCAGGGTCTGCCTCGCCTCACTCCAGCGACCTCCGACCGGTCCCGGACAATCAAGAAGTTTTCTGCCATCCCGTGACGGACCAGAGCCTGATAGTGGAACTTCTCGAGCTGCAGGCCCACGTACGGGGCGAAGCGGCTGCGCGGTGAGGGAATGGCCCCCGGCTGGCCAATGGCAGGGGCGGGGTCGGACCAGTGGGCGGGGCCCGCGGCCGACGGTTAATCCGGGCGGTGAGACCACGCACGGGCCGGGAGCCAGGCCTGCAACTTAAAGATGCTCCCGGGGAGGCGACCAGAGATGTCCCTTCCTGACCCCGCTTCCCTACTCCAGGTACCACTTTGAGGATGTTGGTGGCGTGCAGGGGGCTAGGGCTGTCCATGTGGAGTCTGTTCAGCCTCTCAGTTTGGAGAACCTGGCCCTGAGGGGCCGCTGTCAAGAAGCCTGGGTCCTCTCTGGCAAGCAGCAGATAGCTAAGGAAAACCAGCAGGTGAGGGCCCGAGAGTGTGTAATGTCCTGGAAGGGCGGTAGCGGGGACGCAGAGATCCAGGTAAGCATCCTGACTCTGATCCCCTTAGGTAGCAAAGGACGTGACACTTCATCAGGCCTTGCTGAGGCTGCCCCAGTACCAGACTGATCTCTTGCTTACCTTCAATCAGCCCCCGTAAGGAGGAAGGAACGGGCGGGTATCTCATGACTGGGTTCCCAGGAGAATCGGGCTGGGAGGGACAGAACAGGGAGACTCACTGGTGGGATCCTCCAAGGAAGCAGGAGTGGGCCAGAGGTTTGGGGTAACTGATACCCAGGTCCTCTGGGGAACAGGAATTGGCAATTTCCAAACCTCAGGCCTGGATGATGTTCTGTCTCCATCTGTTCCCCCACCCCAAGCCCTGACAACAGGTCATCTCTTGGCCCCGAAAATCTGTCACCTGCACCCTGGAGCCTGGGTGACTTTGAACAGCTGGTGACCAGTCTGACCCTTCACGATCCTAACATCTTTGGTCCCCAGTAAAGGCGCTGAAGCACTGCATGATGTTGCTGAGAACTTGGGGACTCGGTTCTGTGAGGGGGAAAAGAGGTTGAAAAGAGGGTTTCCTCTTATTTCTTCCCTGTGCGTAAACATAAGACAATCCCTCTTCAGAATAAACTTGCTTTATAATCAATATAATCTCTGTGCCTTTGAATCTAACAGGACACCTGGGTCCCAGACGCCTGGGAATTGGGTCTCTCGATTCCCTTTGGTTTTGGAGGGAGGAGTTTAAAACTGTGCATGGGAGCAGGAGGGACTCAAGGGTGGCAGTGGTGAGTGGGAGGAAATACACTTTGGGATGACTCGTTCAGCCCTGAGAGAGGGGTGTGAGTTACCCAGGGAATGGGTAGGGAAGGTTTAAAGCAACACCCAAGGAAAGAAGGGAAACTCATCTCTTGTAGTGATTCAACCCTGAGAACAGATGGGGAGTGGGGTTGGCTGTCCCCCATGGATGGATGAAAGGTCACCTAATCAGTAGTCACCAGGACATAGTGGTGGAGGCACAAGTGGCCAAGGAGTGCTCATTTGGTGGAGACTGGGAAAGCGGCTGTTATTTAGTGTCTGTGTAGTAGAGGGAGCGCAGCTGGTCCCAGAAGAAGAGGGAGAGGATGGTGTGGGGGCCGAGGCGGAAGTAGGAGGCACCTATACCCTTGTACATGCCAAAAATGCCCTCGGTCCGAGCTGTCTGCAGCAGAGCGTCCAGTATCCCCCGGTACATGAGGCCCTGAGAGTGTGTCAGAGAGGGAGGGAGAGCACAGAGAAGGAGTTTGTCAGAGCCCACCAGGGGCAGCACCTCTACAGGCTGCATTTCAGGCTATCCCACCTGCACCCGCAATCTGCCTTCCCCATCCCCTGCTTCCCGCCTGCATCCCAGAGCACTTCCTTACCTTGCCCTGTGCATCTGTGGGCTGGTTGTAGAGCCTTGTGCAGGCCACATCAAAGGGTGCCATGGCCAAGACAACTGCAATGCCACTCATCATGGCAGCCACCAGCGCCAACTTCCAGCTCTGGGGAGGAAAGATCTAAGGGGGTAGAGAGGAAGAGCGTTGTCAACCAGCCAACTATTACACCCCAAGGACAGGACAGTCCCTGCCCTGGGGACACAGATGCTGGTAACTGGGGGAGCTTCCACTGCACCAGTTATAACAGTGCAAAAACAGTGAGAAGGAGGAAGGCCAGGGTACCCTGAAGGCTCAGGTACCCCTTCTGGGAGGAAGTGACAAGAGAACTGTGGGAAGGGTCTAAAGAGTTGACCTCCAAGCCCTCCTGCCACTCCCTCACCTGTGAATGTTGGGCACCATCCCCTCCAGGGCCTAGTGCAGCTTGCCCTCCCCTTCCCCCCTTCCCGAAACAGACCCACCCATTTCCCAGGCAGTACCTCCCACTGGCTCAGGAGGTCCTTGGTGGATGAGAAGGTGCACAGCTGGGTGGAGGAACCGACGATAACTCGGGGCAGGCCGCCCAGAGCCCCACGCCATAACCCCACCAGACCATGTTTCTGGCCAATCTCGGTTAGCGCCTGAAACATGCCCTAGTGTGGGGAAGACCGGGGGTGGGGTTCAGACAGCCCAGCATCAGGGGCTGCCATCCTAACACTGCCAAGGATGGGTCCTTAATAGGAATCTCTTGTCCAGACAACCAGTTCAATGTGGGCTTAGAGCCAGAATGTGGGCCCTTGGTTGTCTAGCCACCCCATTGTTCCTTCCCTGGGCACCCAAGAACTGGGGCGGGATGTATGCAAGTGAGGCCATTCACTGGTCAGGAGAAACAGGGGCAGAAAATTAGAGGAACTGGAGTACATATTGGAAAGAGGCATCAGGCACGGTGGCTCACGCCTGTAATCCTAGCACTTTGGGAGGCCCAGGCGGGTGGATCACCTGAGGTCAGGAGTTTGAGACCAGCTTGGCCAACATGGTGAAACCCCATCTCTATTAAAAATACAAAAATTGCCGGGTGCAGTGGCTCATGCCTGTAATCCCAGCACTTTGGGAGGCCGAGGCGGGCGGATCACAAGTTCAGGAGTTCGAGACCAGCCTGACCAACATGGTGAAACCCCATCTCTACTAAAATTACAAAAATTAGCTGGACGTGGTGGCGCATGGCTGTAATCCCAGCTACTCAAGAGGTTGCAGCAGGAGAATCACTTGAACCCGGGAGGTGGAGGTTGCAGTGAGCCAAGACTGCGCCACTGCACTCCAGCCTGGGCAACAGAGCAAGACTCTGTCTCAACAAAACAAAACAAAACAAAAAAAATTTAGCTGGGTGTGGTGGTGCACGCCTGTAGTCCCAAGCTACTCGGGAGGCTGAGGCAGGAGAATCACTTGAACCCGGGAAGCGGAGGTTGCAGTGAGCCGAGATCGTGCCAATGCACTTCAGCCTGGGCAACAGAGCGAGACTCCATCTAAAAAAAGAGTAAAGAGGGTCTGGGTAGACTCCAGGGGCAAAATGGGACAGAACCGATGGGTTGAGCAGAGCAGTGGCTGGGATTGGATCTGTTGGGTGCAGGCAGAAAGCTAGGGGAAAAGAGAAAGGATGGTCAGGGACTTTGGCAGACTTGGGAACCCTCACCTGATGCTTATACTGGTGCCCTACAGCAATTTCTGAGGCTGCCTGTGCCTGCAGGTGTGTCTTCACCTGGGAACAAGAGAATATCATAGCCTGTGCCCCAGTGGCCATCCTCCTACCTGAGAACCAAATGTCTCACCCCCTCACACTTCCTCTAGGGTGTTCAGCAATGAATAGCCTCTTACTCTGATTATTGTTCTTCCTACTTAACAAACTGGTTAACAAAAAGACTCTGTCTCTAGGCTCCAGCCCCAGGGGGGTGGATCTCCCAGCACTGCAAGACACCCCAACCCCTTCATATCCTCTTTCCCTTGGGGCTAGCAGTCGGGGGTGGAGTGGTTGGAGAATGGCAATATTTCCTAAGGCTGTTCATGTTAGGCAAGACCTGGTGTCCCGCCTCTCATGCTAGCTCCCATTCCCAGACTGGATCTCCAGCCACCACTTCTATCAGGCTCCCCATCAGACTCTGGGCAAAACTTGCTCTCTAGCCCCCAACCCCCACAGAGGTATCGAGCTGACTTTGGGGAGACCACTGTCCCTGAAACTCACACCTTGAAATGAGACCAGACTGCCTCTGCTACAGGACATACTACTTCCCCGTCTCTTTTGCTCTTGGGAGCACTAAGCAGGGCCTAGTCCTAGCAATAAACAGCTGTGTGACCTTGAGTGGGTCACTTCCCCTTTCTGGGCCTCAGGCTCTTGACCCTTCACCTATACCAGATAACTCAAAGGGGCAGATGTTGAGATTGTTAATTCTGTGATGCCCAGGGCCTTCCTGATCCCTAGACTCTCTGACGTATGTTAAATTCCTTATCCTCCCCTTCACAAATCCAACCTCAATATCAACACATAATAATAAAAACAAATGCTACCAAATGCTTACTGTCTGCCAGGATTCGCACTAATGCTTTCATGTCTACCGCATTTGTCTCCCTCGATCCTCCCAATAATCACACAGAAAGGGCACTATAATTATCACCATTTTACAGATGTGGCAACTGAAGCTCAACAACTAGTAATTTTCTTTCTTTTCTTTTTTTTTTTTTTTTTGAGACGGAGTCTCTCTCTCTGGCCCAGGCTGGAGTGCAGTGGCCGGATCTCAGCTCACTGCAAGCTCCGCCTCCTGGGTTTAGGCCATTCTCCTGCCTCAGCCTCCGGAGTAGCTGGGACTACAGGCGCCCACCACCACGCCCGGCTAATTTTTTGTATTTTTAGTAGAGACGGGGTTTCACCGTGTTAGCCAGGATGGTCTCCATCTCCTGACCTCGTGATCCGCCCGCCTCGGCCTCCCAAAGTGCTGGGATTACTGGCGTGAGCCACCGCGCCCGGCCAACAACTAGTAATTTTCAAAGCCAGGATTTTAGTTCCAGAAAGTCTGATTCCAAAGCCCATAATCTTTTTTTTTTTTTTTTGTGAGACGTAGCCTTGCTCTGTGGCCCAGGCTGGAGTGCAGTGACCGGATCTCGGCTCACTGCAAGCTCCGCCTCCCGGGTTCATGCCATTCTCCTGCCTCAGCCTCCCGAGTAGCTGGGACTACAGGCGCCCACCACCGCACCCGGCTAATTTTTTGTATTTTTAGTAGAGACGGGGTTTCACTGTGTTAGCCAGGATGGTCTCCATCTCCTGACCTCGTGATCCGCCCGCCTTGGCCTCCCAAAGTGCTGGGATTACAGGTGTGAACCACTGCACCCGGCCCCAAAGCCCATAATCTTAATCAATACATTCAATCGTGTCCATCAGATGGGTGTGTATAGGGCAGATCAGAAGACTCCGAAGCCTACCAGCACTTTCCTGATGCCTTTCCCTGCTTGCAGTGGGGCAGCACTCTGCCACCTATGCCCTTGGGAAAGAACAGCTCCTATCCTACAACGAGGATCTGCCCTGAAGGTCCCAGGCAAGAGCCCTCTTCTTACCATGTAGATGGGGCTCCCCAAGTAGGCTCCCATGACCCCAGCCATGGCCCCAGCTGCTGCGCTGCGGGCAGGACTGTGGGTGCCTTCGGCTGTGTGCAGGTAGCCCCCAGCCTCAGCCAGCCCATAGGTGCCCAGTCGGATGCCATTCATCAGGAACTGGTACAAGAGGGCGGGGGCCAGGCCTTTCTGCAGGGCAGCAAGGCCATCCACCTTGCCGATGGTGATGAAGGCATGGAAGACATTTCGGTAGTGCCGCTGGTATGTGCCAGGGGCCTGCAGTTCTCCTTGCAACTGCATCCTGGTCTTCACCACCTCCAGGGGATTGGTGAATACACAGGCCCCGCAGGCTGCCAGGCCACTCATCAAGAAGTCCATGGTGGGATAGCTGTAGCAGGAACTGACCCAAGAGTAAGAAAGTAAAAATGGGTGTCAGAAAGCGGGGTTGGAAGACAGGGGGAAGGCCTGTTTCAGCAGTACAGGTTGCAGAAGATAAGAATTTAGATTTGCAGTCAAGGGTGTCAGGGTCAAATGTCAAGTGGTCAAACGTCAGCTGGAATTTGGGAGTCAAGAGCTGGCAAGCAGGGAAGAGATAGAAATCTAGGAGATTCTGGTGAGAAGCTTAAGGCAGGACCCTCTGAGGTCAAGGAGGGGCAAAAGACAGAAGGTTGCAGGTGGGATGGCTCAGGATGGCGGGCGACGGGAGCACGGGAGTAGAGGAGGGAATCGCGGGGTTGGGAGATGGAAGCCAGGGAGGCAGGAAGAAGAAAGCCAGCAAGTGAGAGAAGAAAAGGATCCGGGAGAAGAGCCGGTGATTTCCTCGAGCCAGCAACGAGATCTCGATCCGAGAAAGAAGTCAGGACTCTGGCCAGGAATGAGCGTCCCTGAGCGTCCCCAGGCAGCCACCGGAGCTCGCAGTAGCTTCAACCCCGGGTAGCCTGCGGAGGCCGGGCCGCCACACTCCTGCCACTGGAGCGCGGGGCCAATGGGGAGCCTTCAAGAGCCACAACCGAGGCCCTCAGCCAATCAGCGCCGAGCCGGCTCCGCGGCCAAAGGGAGGAGCTCTCGGCGCTCCTGTCCCCGGAATCACCCGGAGGCGGTTGGAATTAACTGTCCAGGCTCCGCCACCAGCGCTCGGCCGCCGACTCCGGCTCCGGAAGGGAGGCCCGGGACGCGGCGGTTTTGTTATTGGCAGGGAAGAGACCTGGGTTCCCGATCGAACACAGAGGCCGAGCGCAGCAGTCCCCCACTGGGGTGCTGGGACCGCCCCTCGGGTGGGCGGACGGCTTTAGCTTCCTACCCCGGGTTGTGACCGGGTGGGGTCACATAAGTTCAGGTCCACGCCCTGCTCGGTGCCGGCGCCAGGAGAGCCAGGAAGACGCGGCCCGGCTTGCGGGGGGTAGAGGGACACACTTGCGCTGCGGGACCAGTCTCCTGAGGCTGCACGGGTTGGTGCTTGGTTAATTAAATCCTTAGTCCTTAGGCTCTTTATTTTTATTTTTTATTTTTTTTGAGACGGAGTCTCGCTCTGTCGCCCAGGCTGGAGTGCAGTGGCGCGATCTTAGCTCACTGAGAGCTCCGCCTCCCGGGTTCACGCCATTCTCCTGCCTCAGCCTCCCAAGTAGCTGGGACTACAGGTGCCCGCCACCACGCCCGGCTTATTTTTTGTATTTTTAATAGAGACCACCGTGTTAGCCAGGATGGTCTCGATCTCCTGACCTCGTGATCCACCCGCCTCAGCCTCCCAAAGTGCTGGGATTACAGGCGTGAGCCACCATCCCTGGCCTGGAGTTCTTTCATATGAGATATTTGTCTCTACTCCTCCATTATTTATTCAACCATTTATTTAATCAGTATGGACTCATGGACATTTATACTTTGGGTTATAATCCAATATACTTCATATTTATTTTCTAGCTAATTTCGTTCTAGCTTTGGCCTTTGAGAGCTGTTTCCGTTGGCTCCTGTGTCTCTTTAGCATACCCCCATCCATTTTTTTTTGCACACAAAAGTTTTTAGTTTATAAATCTTGTGAAAAATCCACAGTGGCCACAGATGTTACTGTAGCATCTTTACTCCTTTGGCTTTTTGCCACACCAACACTGTCCTTTGCAGTCCCCCTTTCTTCATTCTGGTCTTGTGTTCCTTTCATTGCTTTCTTGAGTTCTTTTCTTCTCATCCAGGCCATGTCTTGGAAGTCAGCATTTGGGTTTATTTTTCTTTGCATAATCCAGTGAATCATAAATCATGCCAAAGCCAGTTGTCTTGCCACCACCAAAATGAGTTCTGAATCCAAATACAAAGATGAGGCCAGGCGTGGTGGCTCACGCCTGTAATCCCAGCACTTTGGGAGGCAGAGGCAGGCAGATCACATGAGGTCAGGAGTTTGAGACCAGCCTGGCCAACATTGTGAAACCCTGTCTCTGCTAAAACTACAAAAATTAGCCGGGTGTGGTGGCAGGCACCTGTAATCCCAGCTACTCGGGAGGCTGAGGCAGGAGAATCACTTGAACCCAGGAGGCAGAGGTTGCAGTGAGCCGAGATTGCGCCACTACACTCCAGCCTGGGTGACAGACGGAGACTCCATCTCATAAAGACAAACAAAAACAAACAAAGATGATGACATCTAGTGTAGTCTCATACATTTTGGCTAGTTTTTCCTGAATTTCTGTCTTAGGTACTGTTGTCTTCCCAGGGTGAAGGACCTCAATAACCATTTGTTCCTCCTGAAGTATGTAGTCAGTTGATCATGAACTTCCTAGTTCAGATAGTTACTAAGTCATTCATGATGGCGGTCAATCCTCAACCAGGGAGAAAAATAAGAGTCCCATCAGTGTTGTTGTCATCATTGGTATTTTAATTAAAACCTTGTTTTTATTTAGTGTCACCTTACTTTCTGGTACTATAAAATGCTCCAGGCTCATTTTGTGTATTTCCTGCCACAGTCCTGCAATCAGCCATTTCTCCAAGGACCCCTATTTTCTTTTATTGGCAAATGGTTTTAGAATCCAAGATCTGGGCCCTAGGTGTGCTTGTTGCTTTTGAGGTATCATTGCTTCTGGACCCTCACATCTGAGAAAGCAAGGAAATATATGTGTGTATACTAACCCACGTATATACACAAACATGTATTTCCATATATAACCATCCATATCTATATTAAGCTAAGCATGAATTCATACTGATGTCTCCAACTTTAATCCATTACTACATGGATCATTCTAGCCACCTCCCTTGTTTATCTAAACTCCCACCCCAACTGTGAGAAACCTGGCTTCCATAATTTGCCATCTATTTACTTAATTGTTTATTCCAGGACACGTGTATAGGAGTATCAGAATTGTTTTGTTTTTCTTTTTAAATTCTTTATTATTATTATTATTATTATTATTTGAGACGGAGTTTTGTTCTTGTTGCCCATGCTAGAGTGCAATGTTGCAATCTCAGTTCACTGCAACCTTCACCTCTCAGGTTCAAGCGATTCTCCTGCCTCAGCCTCCTGAGTAGCTGGAATTACAAGCACGAACCACCACACCTGGCTAATTTGTTTTTGTATTTTTAGTAGAAACAGGGTTTCACCATGTTAGCCAGGCTGGTCTCGAACTCCTGACCTCAGGTGATCCTCCCGCCTTGGCCTCCCAAAGTGCTGGTATTACAGGCATGAGCCACTGCACCCGGCCTAAACTTTTTCTTCTTTCTTTCTTTTTTTTTTTGAGATGGAGTTTTGCTGTTGTCGCCCAGGCTGGAGCACAATGGCATGATCTTGGCATACTGCAACCTCTGCCTCCCGGGTTCAAGCGATTCTCCTGCTTCAGCCTCCCAAGTAGCTGAGATTACAGGCATGCGCCACCACGCCTGGCTAATTTTGTATTTTTAGTAGAAACAGGGTTTCTCCATGTTGGTCAGGCTGGTTTGCGAACTCCCGACCTCAGGTGATCCACCTGCCTCGGCCTCCCAAAGTGCTAGGATTACAGGGGTGAGCCACCACACCCAGCCTAAAATTTTTCTTTATATGTGCCAGGCACAGTAGCTCATGCCTGTAATCCCAGCAGTTCGGGAGGCTGAGGCAGGTGGATCACCTGAGGTCAGGAGTTCAAGACGATCCTGGGCAGCATGGCAAAACCCCGTCTCTACTAAAAATACAGAAATTAGCTGGGCGTGGTGGCACGCACCTGTAGTCCCAGCTACTTGGGAGGCTGAGGCACGAGAATTACTTGAACCTGGGAGGCGGAGGTTGCTGTGAGCCAAGATCGCGTCGTTGCACTCCAGCCTAGGTTACAGAGCAAGATTCCGTTTCAATAAAATAAAATAAAATATTTCTTTATTTGTAATCATAATGTCTCAAAAGAGAATTGTTAACACATACCCCTGTGGAGAACAATCTTATAAACTAGGGTACAGTGCTTATGTGTAGTTCCATTTGCCTTTGATCTTACAGACTCGACTCATTTCCAAAATTACTCAGGTCAGCACCTTTCCCCCAGCTCCCTTCAGAAAAGTTATTTCATACATTAGTAGTATCATTAAATTCTTTTGCCACAATCTGCCTTCCATATTGGGTTCCCTGACCTCCTAATTTTTTTTTTAATTAAAAATATCAGGAGTCAAAAAAAATAAAATAAAAAAAATATCAGGAGTCTGGGCGTGGTGGCTCACACCTGTAATCCCAGCACTTTGGGAGGCCAAGGCAGGCAGATCACCTGAGGTTGGGGGTGTGAAACCAGCCTGACCAACATGGGGAAACTTCTTCTCTACTAAAAAAAATACAAAATTAGCTGGGGGTGGTGGCGCATGCCTGTAATCCCAGCTACTCGGGAGGCTGAGGCAGGAGAATCACTTGAACCCCGGAAGTGGAGGTTGCAGTGAGCAGGAGATTGCGCCATTGCACTCCAGCCTGGGCAACAAGAGTTAAACTCTGTCTCAAAATTACATCTATCTATCTATCTATCTATCTATCTATCTATCTATCTATCTATCTATATATATATATATCAGGGCTGGGCATGGTGGCTCAGGCCTGTAATCCCAGCACTTTGGGAGGCTGAGGTCAGCGGATCATGAGGTCGAGAGATCGAGACCATCCTGCCCAACATGGTGAACCCTCATCTCTACTAAAAAAAAAAAATACAAAAATTGGCCGGGTGTGGTGGCTCATGCCTGTAATCTCAGCACTTTGGGAGGCCGAGGAGGGCGGATCACCAGGTCATGAGGTCGAGACCATCCTGGCTAACACAATGAAACCCCATCTCTACTAAAAATACAAAAAATTAGCCAGGCGTGGTGGCAGGTGCCTGTAGTCCCAGCTACTAGGGAGGCTGAGGCAGGAAAATGGCATGAACCCAGGAGGCGGAGCTTGCAGTGAGCCGAGATCGCGTCACTGCACTCCAGCCTGGGCGACAGAGTGAGACTCTGTCTCAAAAAAAAAAAAAAAAATTGAGGCCGGATGCAGTGGCTCATGCTTGTAATCCCAGCACTTTGGGAGGCCGAGGTGGGTGGATCACCTAAGGCCAGGAGTTCGAGACCAGCCTGGTCAACCTGGTGAAACCCCATTTCTACTAAAAATACAAAAATTAGCTGGGTGTGGTGGCGGGCACCTGTAATCCCAGCTACTCGGGAGGCTGAAGCAGGAGAATCACTTCAACCCAGGAGGCGGAGTTTGCAGCGAGCCGAGATCGCACCACTGCACTCCAGCTGGGCAACAGAGCTAGACTCCGTCTCAAAAAACAACAACAACAACAACAACAAAACAAACAAACAAAAAAAACCCAAAAATGTATAATTAGGCCCAAGGTCACCTAGATTTTCTTTTATGTTTTCTTCTAGAAGCTTTATAGTTTTACTTTTTACATTTAGGTCTATGATCCATTTTGAGTTAATTTTTGTAAATTATGTGAGGTCTGGGTTTGGTTTCTTCTCATCCTCCTCTCTCTTTTCTTCTTTCTTCTTTCCTCCTCCTCCTCCTTCGTCGTCTTCTTCCTCTTCCTCCTCTTCTTCTCCTTCTTCTTCTTTTTCTCCTTCTTCTTTCTTCTTCTTCCTTTGGTCCTTTGTAAAAAATCTGTTTTCTATATTTGTGTGGCTCGATTTCTGTGCCCTCACTTCTGTTCCCTTGATCTGTGTGTCTAGCCTTTGACCAATATCATGCTGTCTTGATTTATTGTAGGCTGTTACCATTTTTTCCTGGATGTGAATGTCATGAATCAGATTTGAGAGGAGTTGCATAGGGAACGTAAAAGTCCCCAGGTGTCTGAAAGAAGGGGTGGTAACATAGAGAGGGAGCGAGAAAGACGGGGAGGCTTGGAGGGCAGGGGGCTGTGTCTTTCTTGCCTCTTCCTTGGTAGCCTAGACACTGATGGGTTCCTTTTGGCTGCTGAGCGCGCACCCGAAGTGCTCAAACTCCACCTAGTGGTGGTGAGGAAGGATCGTCTCTGTGTATCCTCACCTGGGCCAAAACCTGTATAAATTCCCAGAGCAGGCCAGCTTTTCCTTACTGCTTCTTCCTGATTTATCCCCCATCACAGGCAGGCTACCTACATTAACAGCTTTGCAGACAGAAATGAGGCCCAGGTGTTCTGTGCTCCATGAAAGAGTCTACTGGACTTCCAAGTCCTGGCCCTACCGGAGGGAGCTGGACTCAACACTTCTTTTATTAGAAGCTCCCTTTATAAGGGATTGTTTTGTTGTAAGTGACAGAAATCCAACTCAAACTAGCTTACAAAAAGGGAACTCATTGACTCACACAACTGAAAGCTCCAGACACACACATGACTTCAGGCCAGCAGAATCAGGCACTCAAATCTGTCTCTCTCCACCTCTGCCATGTATCGGTTTTATTCTCAGGCCACCTCACTGATGGCCACTAGCAGCTGCAGGCCCATATTCCACCAGCTTAGCATCCTCAGTGGAAATGTAACTGCCCAGTGGGCTCTTCCTGTCCTCTGCACAAATAAAGACCACGGCATTGCAGTAAAGAAAGAGTTTAATTGACACGAGGCCGGCCATGCCACATGCAAAATTGATTATTACTCAAGTCAATCTCCCTGAAAATTCAGAGATCAGGGTTTTTGATAATTTGGTGGGTAGGGGGTCAGAAAGTGGGGAGTGCTAATTGGTTAGGTGGGAGACGAAATCACAGGGAGTTGAAACTCTCCTCTTTCACTGGGTCGGTTCCTGGGTGGGGGCCACAAGAACAGATGAACCAGTTTATTGATCCGGGTGTTGCCAGATGATGCTTTGAGTGCAGGGTCTGCAAAATATCACAAGCACTCATCTTAGGTTTTACAAGAATGATGTTATCCCCAGGAGCAATTTGGGGAGGTTCAGAATCTTGCAGCCTCCAGCTGCATGACTCCTAAACCAAATCTTATTTATTTATTTTTTTTTTGAGACGGAGTATCGCTTTGTCACCCAGGCTGGAGTGTAATGGCATGGTCTCTGATCACTGCAACCTCTGTCTCCTGGGTTCAAGCGATTCTCCTGTCTCAGCCTCCCGAGTAGCTGGGACTACAGGCGTGCGCCACCACACCCGGCTAATATTTTGTATTTTTAGTAGAGACAGGGTTTCACCATGTTGGCCAGGCTGGCCTTGAACTCCTGACCTCGTGATCTGCCAACCTCGGCCTCCCAAAGTGCTGGGATTACAGGCATAAGCCACTGTGCCCAGCCGAAACGGGAGTTTTATTACATTATTACTCAAATCAGTCTCCCCAAGCAGAATCAGTTTTTTGTTTGTTTGTTTGTTTGTTTGTTTGTTTTTGAGACGGAGTCTCGCTCTGTCGCCCAGGCTGGAGTGCAATGGCGCCATCTTGGCTCACTGCAAGCTCCGCCTCCCGGGTTCACGCCATTCTCCTGCCTCAGCCTCCCCAGTAGCTGGGCCTACAGGCCCCCGCCACCACGCCCGGCTAATTTTTTGTACTTTTAGTAGAGACGGGGTTTCACCGTGTTAGCCAGGATGGTCTCGATCTCCTGACGTCGTGATCTGCCCGCCTCAGCCTCCCAAAGTGCTGGGATTAGAGGCTTGAGCCACCGCACCCGGCTACCAGAATCAGAGTTTTTAAAGATCATTTGGCGGGTAGGGACTTGGGAAGTGGGGAGTGCTGATTGGTCAGGTTGGAGATGGAATTGCAGGGGGTCGAAGTGAGGTTTTCTTGCTGTCTTCTGTTCCTGGGTGTGATGACAGAACAGGTGGTGCCAGATTAAGGTCTGGGTGGTATCAGCTGATTCATAGAGCCAGCGGCTGCATGACCCCCAAACTAATTTATAATCTTGTAGCTAATCTGTCAATTTGTTAGTCCTGCAAAGGCAGACTGGTCCCCAGGCAAGAAGGGGGTCTTTTCAGTTAAGGACTATTAACAATTTTGTTTCAGAGTCAAACCATGAACTGAATTCCTTCCCAAAGTTAGTTCAGCCTACGCTGAGGAATGAACAAGGACAGCTTAAAGATTAGAAGCAACATGGAACTGGTGAGGTCTGATTTCTTTCACTGTCATAATTTCCTCAGTTATAACTTTACAAAGGCGATTTTAAGACCCTGTCTCAAAAACAAACAAACAAACAAACAAAAACTATCGTGATCCACTCCCCCTACTCTGCTCTGAAACCTTCAGGGCCTGTCTGCCCGGTGTGATTGCTCACGATATGGCCTCCATGTGTCCCTCTTTTCATTTCAGATCAGTTTGTTTCCCTTTCACGGTTCTCCAGACGTGCCTACTTTCCTCTTCGCTGTGCCTGCGCTTCCCTGGATTCCCACAATGCTCCTTCATGCCCTGCCTCTTGGCTTGGCTAAACCCCTCTGCCTGATTTTAAATGAACAGTCAAAGTGCCTCTTCTCCCTGACACCCACTTTTTCCAACCAACAGGTCAATGACATGAGGAAGACCGAAGGAGGCTGCTGGGTGTGGACACAAAGAGATGGAGCAGACGCTTATGGGCTCCTTCATCCTTCCAGAACAGACTCTCCAAGCAAAGTCTAAACCAGTCACATTGAAGCTCCTAGGGTTACTTCATTAATAATATTTCAGGCCGGGCGTGGTGGCTCACGCCTGTAATCCCAGCACTTTGGGAGCCTGAGGCGGGAGGATCACAAGATTAGGAGTTCAAGACCAGCCTGGCCAATATGGTGAAATCCCGTCTCTACAAAAAGTTAGCCAGGCGTGGTGGCGGGCGCCTGTAGTCCCAGCTACTCGGGAGGCTGAGGCAGGAGAATGGCTTGAGCCCAGGAGGCGGAGGTTGCAGTGAGCCGAGATTGCACCACTACACTCCAGCCTGGGCAACAGAGCAAGACTCTGTCTCAAATAATAATAATAATAATAATACTTCAAAAAGACTTCAAATTGAAGTCTTTTTTTTTTTTTTTTTTTTGAGACGGATTCTCGCTCCGTCGCCCAGGCTGGAGTACAATCGTGTGATCTTGGCTCACTGCAACCTCCGCCTCCTGGGTTCAAGCCATTCTCTGGCCTCAGCCTCCTGAGTAGCTGGTATTACAGGCTTGTGCCAACATGCCTGGCTAATTTTTGTATTTTTAGTAGAGACGGGGTTTCATCTTGTTGTCCAGGCTGGTCATGAACTCCTGACCTTAAGTGATCTGCCTGCCTCAGCCTCCCAAAGTGCTGGGATTACAGGTGTGAGCCACCACGCCCGGCTGCACTAATTATTTGTAATGGTAAAGAGTGTAAGCTTCCCTAGGAGGACTGTCTCCCAGTTCTGCACTAGGGGATAAATTGTAATGGTCAAGGTTCTTTCAGCAGTAAGTGACAGAAAACCAGCTAAAACCAGCTCAAGCGCAAAAGGGAATGTCATGCCTCTGGAAGCTGGGAGGTCCAAGGGACTCAAATATCATTGTAATCCCCAGCTTTTTTTTTTGCTCTGTCACCCAGGCTGGAGTGCAGGGGCGTGGTCTTGGTTCACTGCAGCCTCGAACTCCTGGGCTCAAGTGATCCTCCTGCCTCAGCCTCTGGAGTAGTTGAGACTACAGGCATGCGCCACCGCCAGGCTTCCTCCCTCTCTTGGCTCTGCTTCCCTCAGGTATGGGGCTCATTTTCTCCCACTGTTGACTGGCTTCCTCCTTTTCCAGGGGAAGGAAGTAGGCCAAGGTATAGACAGCTCCTGACTTAGATTGTTCCTGCCTTGTGAGCTTGGAGGAAAGAGAAAGCTTCTCTTTCTCAGAGGCCCAGAAGCTTCTCTTTCTCCTGGAGTCTGTCCTGACCTGCTCATTCCTGGACCAGTCTCTGTGGCCAGAGGAATACGGCACTGTGATTGAACAAACCTGAGTCACGTGGCCAGAGGGAGGCTGTTGTGATTGGCTGTCCCACTGGAACCACATGGAGTCGGGTGGGTGATGGAGAGTTTCGTAGGAGATGGACACTGCTGTTACCAGGAAGATGAAATCTATTTGATGCAACATTATATTCCAGGAAACGTTATAGCTGCAAAGACCACGTAGCGACATGAAAATTGGTTATAAAGCAATGCTAAGAGAACAAGGCAGAAGACAGACTTGAAACTATGATGGCACATTTGGAATATGAAAAAATAGAAAACTTTTGCTCTGTAAGGGTGGTAGAAGAATGAATTATTACGTCAAAAACCTTCAGTGTCTTTGCAAAAGTATTTTATAATAAATAACGTGTGCATGCACAAATAGTCTCATGTTTACTGCATAATATGATTTTCGGAGCTCAGTTTCTTTTTGTAATGAGATAAGACACAAATAAAATAGATGGTGATATTGACAAAAAGAGTCAAACTCTGTAAAATATTTGAAGAGATTTATTCTGAGCCAAATATGAGTGACCATGGCCTGTGACTCAGCCCTCAGGAGATCCTGAGAACATGTGCCCAATGTAGTTGGGGTGCAGCTTGCTTTTATACATTTTAGGGAGACATGAGACTTCTATCAAATACTTTTTTTTTTTTGAGACCAAGTCTCACTCTGTCACCCAGGCTGGAGTGCAGTGGCACAATCTCGGCTCACTGCAACGTCTGCCTCCCAGGTTCAAACGATTCTCCTGCCTCAGCCTCCCAAGTACAATAGCTGGGATTACAGGCGCTCGCCACCACGCCTGGCTTATTTTTGTATTTTTAGTAGAGATGGGGTTTCACCATGTTGGCCAGGCTGGTCTCGAACTCCTGGCCTCAGCTGATCGGCCCGCCTCGGCCTCCCAAAGAGTTGGGATTACAAGCTTGAGCCACCGCGCCTGGCCTCAATCAAATACATTCAAATACATTTAAGAAATACAGGCCAGGCGCGGTGGCTCACGCCTGTAATCCCAGCACTTTGGGAGGCTGAGGTGGGCGGATCATCTGAGGTCAGAAGTTCGAGACCAGCCTGGCCAACATGGTGAAACTCCATCTCTACTAAAAATAATAGCAAAAATTAGCCGGACACAGTGGCACACGCCGGTAATCCCAGCTACTCGGGAGGCTAAGGCAGGAGAATTGCTTGAACCCGGGAGGTGGAGGTTGTAGTGAATCAAGATCATGCCACTGCACTCCAGCCTGGGCAACAGAAAGAGTATCAAAAAATAAAAAAATAAAAGGCTGGGCACGGTGGCTCATGTCTGTAATCCCAGTACTTTGGGAGGCCGAGGCAGGCAGATCACTTGAGGTCAGGAGTTCAAGACCAACCTGGCCAACGTGGTGAAACTCTATCTCTACTAAAAGTACAAAAATTAGCCGGACGTGGTGGCGCATGCCTGTAATCCTAGCTGCTTAGAAGGTTGAGGTAAGACAATTGCTTGAACCCAAGAGGCAGAGGTTGCAGTGAGCCGAAATCCTGCCACTGCATTCCAGCCTGGGCAACACAGACTTCGTCTCAGAAAAAAAAAAAAGAAAAAAAAAAGAGGAGTAGTGAACTGTGGGAAGGATTCAATTCAATTTGGTTCAATTCATCAACTATTGAGCACCTATTATGTGCCTGATCCTCTTCCAGAACTTTGGGATATACAGTGTGAAAGGAAAATGAATCTTGGGGCCCCCAAATCACTAAGCTAAAGAAAAAGTCAAGCTGGGAACTGCTTAGGGCAAACTGCCTCCCATTCTACTCAAAGTCATCCCTCTGCTCACTGAGATAAATGCATATCTGGAGCCGGGGCGCAGTGGCTCACGCCTGTAATCCCATCACTTTGGGAGGCCGAGGCGGGCAGATCACGAGGTCAGGAGATCGAAACCATCCTGGTCAACATGGTGAAACCCCGTCTCTACTAAAAATACAAAAATTAGCTGGGCGTGGTCGTGGGCACCTATAGTCCCAGCTACTCGGGAGGCTGAGGCAGGAGAATCACTTGAACCCGGGAGGCGGAGGTTGCAGTGAGCCAAGATCACACCACTGCACTCCAGCCTGGGTGACAGAGTGAGACTTTGTCAAAAAAAAAAAAAAAGCATATCTGATTGCCTCCTTTGGAAAGGCTAATCAGAAACTGAAAAGAATGCAACAGTTTGTCTCTCACCTACCTGTGACCTGGAAGCCCTCTCCGTGCTTGAGTTGTCCCGCCTTTCCAGACTAAACCAATGTACGTCTTACTTATATCGATTGAGGTCTTATGTCTCCCTAAAATGTATAAAACCAACCAAGCTGTGCCCTAACCACCTTGGACACATGTCATCAAGATCTCCTGAAGCTGTGTCACAGGTGTGTGCTCTCAACCTTGGCAAAATAAATTTTTTTTTTTTTTGAGATGGAGTCTCACTCTGTCGTGCCCAGGCTGGTGTGCAGTGGTGTGATCCTGGCTCACTGCAACCTCTGCCTCCCGGGTTCAAGTGATTCTTCTGCCTCAGCCTCCTGAGTAGCAGGGATTATAGGCATGCACCACCATGCGCGGCTAATATTTTGTATTTTTAGTAGAATCAGATTTTCACCCTGTTGGCCAGGCTGGTCTCGAACTCCTGACCTCGGTGATCTGCCCACCTTGCCTGGCTAAACTGCCTACTTTTGTATTGTGTTACCTGATTTATTGACTAAAATAGTTATTGCAACAGAGGCTACTCTTGCTTTTTTTCTTTTTCCTTTTCATTTTTTTTTTTGAGATGGAATCTCTGTCACCTAGGCTGGAGTGCAGTGGCCCGATCTCGGCCCACTGCAACCTCCGCCTCCCGGGTTCAAGCAATTCTCCTGCCTCAGCCTCCAAAGTAGCTGGGATTACAGGCGCCTGCCACCACGCCCAGCTAATTTTTGTATTTTTAGCAGAGATGGGGTTTCACCATATTGGCCAGGCTGGTTTTGAACCCCTGACTTCAGGTGATCCACCCACCTCGGCCTCCAAAAGTGTTGGGATTACAGGTGTGAGCCACCATGCCAGGCCAAAAACAATTTTTTAAAATTAAGTTTATTACATCCATGTATTTTTCTGTATGTGCTTTTAAAGTCCTTGTGACACTGAGTTACAGGGCTTTGATTCTTGGGTCTAAAAAGGACACCAATTCTGCTAAATCTTAAAAACTAACATCAATTAAAGCCTCATCTTCAGGCCCAGTAGAAGATGCCAATCAAAATAACTGTATTGCCGAGACACACGGCCACAAATTAAAGCTGTTAAACTCCTCAAGGCCCAGGGACTATTGCAGAAGAGGTGGGCATGTGAGATGGTAAGGGTTGATTTTGAGAAATAAAATAAATTCAGTTTCTCTATAAATTAACCATTAATGTCAAAGACACACTGATGCAAGACCAGCATATGGGCCCCTGTGTCAGATTCACAAGGTTTTCTTGGAGCATTAACTGACTCCTTAATAAAGGTTATAAAGGTTATACAAAGGTTATGGAAGTTACATCTTATGGTCAAGATTAAAATGTTATAGACTATTTATAAAATTTTTGGGGCCAGGTGTGGTGGCTCACGCCTGTAATCCCAGCACTTTGGGAGGCCGAGTCGGGCATATCACGAGGTCAGGAGTTCGAGACCAGCCTGGCCAACATGGGGAAACCCTGCCTCTACTAAAAAATACAAAAAATTAGCCGGGCATGGTGGCAGATGCCTGTAATCCCAGCTATTCGGGAGACTGAGGTAGAAGAATCACTTGAACCTAGGAGGCGGAGGTTGCAGTGAGCAGAGATCGCACCACTGCACTCCAGCCTAGGCAACAGAGCAAGACTCCGTCTCAAAAAAAAAATTTTTTTTTGGAAAAAATTTAATTGGCTTCATGCTGTTTTTATTGGGGCTTATTGTTTGGAAAATTAAGTCTCTTCTGGGATTACAGGGGAGTGCCACCATGCCTGGCTAATTTTTTTTTTTTTTTTGAGATGGAGTTTCACTCTTGTTGCCCAGGCTGGAGTGCAATGGCACGATCTCAGCTCACTGCAACCTCCGCCTCCTGGGCTCAAGTGATTCTTGTGCCTCAGACTCCTGAGTAGCTGGGATTACAGGCGAGTGCCACCATGCCCGGCTAATTTTTTTTTTTTTTTTGAGATGGAGTTTCACTCTTGTTGCCCAGGCTGGAGTGCAATGGCACGATCTCAGCTCACTGCAACTGCCACCTCCTGGGTTCAAGTGATTCTCTCTCCTCAGCCTCCAGAGCAGCTGGGATTACAGGTGCCCGCCACCATGCCCAGCTAATTTTTGTATTTTTTTTTTTTAGTAGAGATGGGGTTTCACCATGTTGGCCAGGCTGGTCTCAAACTTCTGGCCTCAGATGATCCACCCTCCTTGGCCTCCCAATCTGCTAGGATTATAGGCGTGAGCCACGGCTCCTGGGACATTTTTTATTTTTATTTTTTTTGAGATGGAGTCTTGCTCTGTTGCCTAGGCTGGAGTGCAGTGGCAGGATCTTGGCTCATTGCAACCTCCACCTCCTGGGTTCAAGTGATTCTCCTGCTTCACCCTCCCGAGTAGGTGGTAGTACAGGCGTGCGCCACCACACCCGGCTAATTTTTTTGTATTTTTAGTAGAGACAGGGTTTCACCATGTTGGCCAGGCTGGTCTCAAACTCCTGACCTCAGGTGATCCTCCTGCCTCGGCCTCCCAAAGTGCTGGGATTACAGGCATGAGCCACTGCGCCCGACCTCTGCACATTTTTTATTGTTTTCAGACAGCATATTGCTCTGTTGCCCAGGCTGGAGGGCAGTGGTGCGATCACGGCTCACTGTAGTGTCCAACTCCTGGGCTCAAGTAATCTTCCCACCTCAGCCTCCTGAGTAGCTGGGACCACAGATGTGTGCCATTATGGCTTTTTTTTTTCTTTTGAGATGGAATTTCGCTCTTGTTGGCCAAGCTGAAGTGCAATGGCGCGATCTCGGCTCACTGCAACCTCTGCCTCCTGGGTTCAAGCAATTCTCCTGCCTCAGCCTCCCGACTAGCTGGGATTACAGGCGTGTGCCACCATGCTTGGCTAATTTTTTGTATTTTTAATAGAAACGGGGTTTCACTATGTTAGTCAGGCTGGTCTCGAACTCCTGACCTCAGGTGATCCGCCTGCCTCGGCCCCCCTAAGTGCTGGGATTACAGATGTGAGCCACCTCGCCCGGCCTGTCCACGGCTAATTTTTTAAAAATCTTTTGTAGAGACAGGGTCACACTATGTTGCCGAGGCTGGTCCTCCCACCTTGCCCTCCCAAAGTGCTGGAGTGCTGGGATTATAAGGATGAGCAACCACGCCTGGGCCCCTGCAAATGTTATACCTCCCTGGAGGAGACAGACCCCAAGTCCACACTTCTCTCTTCAGTCCTACCTCCTGGCCCTCCCCTTTTCTCTCTCCTCTAACACACACACACACACACACACACACACACACACACACACACACGCCAGACACAATGGCTGGGTGGGGCTGAGGAACTGGCTTCCTCCGCAGAGATCTCAATCTGGGCCCTGAGTTCCCACCCCAGAATCACAGGAACACACACTTGGAAACCTCAGCCCTGCATTCCTCGCTCCAAGGGGCAGACAGGACAGGCTGAAAATAGCAACTGGTTCCAAAAAGATAAAGGTAAATTCATGGGGACCTACTGCAGAGTTAGGGAGGGAAGCCTGCGGGAGGGTCCCTGGGTGTGAAATAGGCGTTGGCTCACACCCGGCTCAGGAGACAGGTGGTGGTGCAAGTCGGGGAAAGATGGTGAGACTCGCCGTGGAGGGACGCACGCAGCATCCCTTAGCTGAGACAGAGGCATCCAGACACCCATGCTGCTCAGCCAGGCTCTGTGCCATTGCCGTCTTGTCCTCATCCCTACCCCTGTCCACCTCACCCCTATGAGCCCCGATCCACACAGCTGTGCAGGTAGAACCTGCGCACACACTTTCCAAGCCTGAATTTCAGCTTTTCCCCAGACCCCTTTAACCTCTGAGACCCTGGATACCTCTGTCTCCTGGGGCCCTGTGTGATGTGCGCATGTGGAGAGTGGTGTGGTTCGTGAGGGGGGGGTGTCCGGTTGGGAGGCGGATCTGATTCCTGTTTCCTGCCCCTACTCACTCAGCCCTGGGAGGTGACTGAGAGTGGAGGGGATTCAAGGGTGAGTGCTTGGGGCCCGAGTACCTGGGTTCCTAAGGGTGGGGTAGGGAAGGAAGTAAATGCAGGTACCCGAGAGGGGGTGGGATCCCTGAGGGGCAGGGGCTGGGGAGGAGTTGGCCAGTGGTCAAGACTACCGTGTGGGTCACTTTGCTAAATGACTTTCTGCCAGAACACAGAGGCCACTGAGCTGCAAGACCCATCATCTACAACCCCCTTGTTCCCCCCTCATCATTTCTCAAGGAGCCAGTCCGAGGCCTGGAGGGGTCTGACTCTCCTGCTGACCCCTGAAGGGAGTTTGGGGGTTCCTCTGCTTCCCAGCCCTGACCCTGCAGCCTTCTTGGGATTGTAGCCTCCTTCCTCGAGGGAGGAAGAGAAACCCAGGCCGCAGCGCCCTGGCCCGACTGGTCCTGTCCTTCGGTTCATTCTCCCAGCCACCTCCCCAGGCCTCTTGGCAAGACCCATGGCTGTGCTGGGCCTCTCTCTGTGACCAGACCCTAGGGCAGGCGGGGATGATCAGACGCAGGACAGGAGAGACCTCGCCAGGACCTCCTCATCTCCGGGGGTCAGAGGCTCCAAGAATCTTGATGGCAGGAAAAGGAGACTAAAAATAATCCGGAAAGGGAGAGTCCGGAGAGAGGAACTGGGAAATGGGGGGCGGAGGGCCAGTGGAGCAGGGAAACAGTGATGCACGCCTCGCAGCCCAGGCCCGGCGGACAGGCGCGCCCACGGCACCCAGACCCAGACAGCGCAGAACACACATGGCACACCCACCCTGGCACCGCTATCTCAGACACTCACACCGAGAACTTCCTAAAGGGCCACACACCACACACCGTATGCTCCACTCTCCCCCTGCACACCCACCCGGCAAGCACAGAACTCGCACACTCACAACACACCATGCCACCCCCTACACAAACCACACACAAACCTCCACAACACACTCCACGGACACACGGTTCAGTGGGCAGACACGGAGCGGCTGTATCCCGTATTGAGTTTTATGGATTCTCTGGAACCCCCACACCAGCCTTCCCTCCTGACTTCAAAATCCTGCCTTCCAGTGGCCCCAGTTTACCCTCCCTGTGGGGCACTAAGGGTCTTTCTCTTTCCCTCCCTCCTCCTCAGGGGATGACTCCAGCAGAGCACCTCACTCCTTTGAAGAGCACAGAGGAAGATGTCAGCCCAGTCCCTTCCTGCAGCAACACCCCCCACGCAGAAGCCCCCTCGGATCATCCGCCCCCGCCCTCCTTCTCGTTCCAGGGCTGCCCAGTCCCCAGGGCCTCCCCACAATGGCTCCTCTCCACAAGAACTACCCCGAAACTCCAATGATGCACCAACCCCAATGTGCACCCCCATCTTCTGGGAGCCCCCAGCTGCATCCCTCAAGCCCCCTGCTCTTTTGCCCCCCTCAGCTTCTAGAGCCAGCCTCGACTCCCAGACTTCCCCAGACTCACCTTCCAGCACCCCCACACCTAGTCCAGTGTCCCGGCGCTCCGCCTCCCCAGAACCTGCTCCCCGGTCTCCAGTCCCCCCACCCAAGCCGTCTGGGTCACCCTGCACGCCTCTGCTCCCCATGGCTGGAGTCCTGGCTCAGAATGGCTCTGCCTCAGCTCCTGGCACTGTGCGGAGGCTGGCTGGCAGGTTTGAAGGGGGTGCTGAAGGCCGGGCTCAGGATGCAGATGCCCCGGAGCCAGGTCTCCAAGCGAGAGCAGATGTGAATGGGGAGAGAGAAGCTCCCCTCACCGGGAGTGGGTCCCAGGAGAACGGTGCTCCAGGTGAGTGTGGCGGGTGGGGGGCGCTGGGTGACCTCAATCCACCCATCTTCTCCGTTTTCAGTGCTAACAACTTTCAGGGGCTACCTTTTCAAAAATGGAGTTAATGTTTGGGATATCTGGTTTCTGTATGTCGGGATTTGAAGGGAGTCAGGGTGGAGGAGATCTATAGATGCCTGGACCTTGATATTGCAGTTGCTGGGCAGGTTAAAGATGGAGATGGTCTGGGCGGGGGTGGAGCTGGGCCCCAAGGGCTTTCTCCTTAGGCTACCTGTCTCCCACAGATGCTGGCCTGGCCTGCCCTCCCTGCTGCCCCTGTGTCTGCCACACCACCCGGCCTGGCCTGGAGCTCAGATGGGTGCCTGTGGGGGGCTATGAGGAGGTCCCCAGGGTCCCCCGTCGGGCCTCCCCGCTGCGGACCTCTCGCTCCCGCCCCCACCCTCCAAGCATCGGTCACCCTGCCGTTGTCCTCACATCCTACCGCTCCACTGCTGAGCGCAAACTCCTGCCACTCCTCAAGCCTCCCAAACCAACTCGTGTCAGGCAGGATGCCACCATTTTCGGGGACCCCCCACAGCCAGATCTTGATCTGCTTTCTGAAGATGGAATCCAAACAGGTGCAGGGCCTGGGGGAGTGGACCTCTGGGCTGTGAGGGGACAGGAGAGAGGCAGGGGGGAACTAAAGCCCAGCAAACTACAATCCCCAACAGGCACTGGGCTCTTTGCTTCCCCACCAGCTGCTGCTCTGGTGCTGAAGAGAGTTGCAGTTTTTATAGTAACCATCCCTGCTGGGGCTGGAGTCGGGAGTCCTGGCTGGGGATCCTGGAGTTTTTTTTTCTCTTCACTCTGGCTTCTCTCTCCAGGGGACAGTCCTGATGAAGCTCCTCAGAATACTCCTCCAGCAACTGTGGAGGGGAGGTACTGAACACCCCCACCCCTACTCCCTGGTTCTCTCCCCACCATGCTTCTACCTGAGGGCAGACTAACCTTCAGCTCCAGCTAAATCCCACCTCCACAAAGGTGAGGGGACAAGGGCCAGGGCTCTAGAGATAAGCAGCCCTTGTTTCGAATCCCAGCTCTGGCCCTTATCAATTCTGTGATCTTATAGAAGGCCGGGCACGGTGGCTTACATCTGTAATCCCAGCACTCTGGGAGGCCGCGGCAGAAGGATCACCTGAAGTCAGGAGTTCAAGATCAGCCTGGCTAACGTGGTGAAACCCTGTCTCTACTAAAAATACAAAAATTAGCCGGGCATGGTGACGGGTGCCTGTAATCCCAGCTACTCGGGAGGCTGAGGCAGGAGAATGGCTTGGACCCAGGGAGATGGAGGTTGCAGGGAGCCAAGAGCGTGCCACTGCACTCCAGCCTGGTCGACAAGAGAGAAACTCCATCTCAAAAAAAAAAAAAATCTGTAGCCTTCCTGGGTCTCAGTGTCCTCATCTGTGAAATGGGGCTAAGCATAGGAACCACCTCATGGAATCGTGGGGATATGATATTGTGAAGAGCCGGGTCCAGAGTAAGTGAGTGCACCATTTTAACTCCCTTCCCTCACCTTGAGCTTCTATTGCAATTATTGTCCGAAAATCTATTTGGCAATCATGACCATCTCTTCTATGCTATCCAGGATTGTTAATTATCTTAGATTCACCATTGTTATCAGAAGTTATCTGTGTCCATTCATTTATTCAACAAACATTTACTAGTGTGGTTTTTAGCTTGGGCGAATGGGGGTGTGGTGGTGCTGATGACCACAGCAGGGGAGATAAGGGGCTGCAGGTGCTGGTGGGAGGTGTGAGAGTTTGCAGTCCATCACGTTGAGCTTCCTTGACACACAAATAGGGCGTTCCAGACAATGGTTGCTACGTGAGACGGCTGACAAGGAGACTCAGAAATCTCTGGTCTGCAATAGTTGACATAAGAATGGGGCCCACTTAGTTCAGGGGCTCCTCTCTAAAAGGCACATAAAAAGATCTGGAATTTGGGCCGGGCAAAGTAGGTTACGCCTGTAATCCTGACACTTTGTGAGGCCAAGGTGGCAGGATTGCTTGAGACCAGGAGTTTAAGACCAGCCTGGGCAACATAACGAGACCTTGCCTTTCCCCTTCAAAAAAAAAAAAAAAAAAAAAGCCTGAGGTTTGATTTGGGGAGCCGTCAGGGTCCCTACATCCAACCTGCACATGGGTTGCCCTGTCCAGCATGAGAACAAGCACCCCTACGGTGGGCAGCAGTGGTGGCCCTGGGGACTTCCTTCCCTTTCTTTCTCCACAGGGAAGAGGAGGGGCTAGAGGTGCTGAAGGAGCAGAATTGGGAGCTGCCCCTGCAGGATGGTGAGGGCCTCTGGACCTGAGGGTCCCTGCTGTGACCATCAAGCAGTGGGGAAGGGTTTGGGAGCCCTGGGCTTCCCTGAAGTGCTATGTTTGCCCTCTAGAACCTCTGTACCAGACCTACCGAGCAGCCGTGCTGTCAGAGGAGCTGTGGGGGGTGGGTGAGGATGGGAGTCCTTCTCCAGCAAATGCTGGAGATGCACCCACCTTCCCACGACCCCCTGGACCTCGCAACACCCTGTGGCAGGAGCTTCCGGCTGTGCAAGCCAGCGGTCTTCTGGATACCCTCAGCCCCCAGGAGAGGCGCATGCAGGAGGTGGGAGCTGGAGGTGGGAGATGGGAGGGGGGTGCTGGGGTTGGGCTGCATGGGTCAGGCATAGGGGAGGAGGGCCCAGGGTCCTAGCTTCCCACGGTGAACTGGGCTTCCCACGACTGCCTGCTTTTCTTTCTAGAGTCTTTTCGAGGTGGTGACGTCCGAGGCTTCCTACCTGCGCTCCCTGCGGCTGCTGACCGACACCTTCGTGCTGAGCCAGGCACTCCGGGACACGCTCACCCCCCGTGATCACCACACACTCTTCTCCAATGTGCAGCGAGTCCAGGGAGTCAGCGAGCGGTCAGTGGCTTTCCGTCCTTCCAGGGAACCTGCCCTTAGGCTGCTGGGCACGCCCTTTCCTCTCTCCCGGGCCCAGGTCCTTCCTTCTACGGACCCAGTTAGTTCCCAAACCTTCTCTCAAGAACCCGGGAGACCTGGCTCTCTGCCCCGCCCCATTGCTTGCTTCCCCAATTCCTTCAGGTTTCTAGCAACGCTCCTGTCCCGTGTGCGCTCTTCCCCCCACATCAGCGACTTGTGTGATGTGGTGCATGCCCACGCTGTGGGGCCTTTCTCGGTGTATGTGGATTATGTGCGGAACCAGCAGTATCAGGAGGAGACCTACAGCCGCCTCATGTGAGTGTCCCAGGGGTGGGGAGGAAGCTGGGGAGAGGGATGGGACCGAGGCCACAGCAGGTTGGGGCACCAGGGCCTCCAGGCAGCCGCTAGCCATGCCTGCTTCTGCAGGGACACCAACGTGCGCTTCTCCGCCGAGCTGCGCCGGCTGCAGAGCCTCCCTAAGTGTGAGCGGCTCCCGCTGCCGTCCTTCCTGCTACTGCCCTTCCAGCGCATCACCCGGCTGCGCATGCTGCTGCAGGTACCTGTCCCAGCTGCGGCCGTTTCTGCCCCACCAACCCCATCGGAGAACTCTCCCGAGGGCTTCTTGGCCCTCCAGCTATCACCATGCACTACTCCACCTTAAACATAAAATCCCCCAAATCATAACTCCGAATCTGGGTCTCTCAGCCTAGGACTCACCAAGTCCTACCTTAGGGGCCCTGTGCTCTTCCCCTTACCTGGACTGCCTCTAGGTCCAGGTGCAGGGAAAGGCCCTCTGGCTGGAGACATGAGTTCCACACCTAGCTCTGCCACTGACTCTCTGAGTGACCTTAGGCAAGTCCCTTCTGCTCGCTGGGTCTCAGGGGGAGTGTGTGAGCGGTTTTTGAGGTTGTCTCTGGCTATATTCTTCTACCCACATGCCTTCCCAGCTGGGGTGGTATCACCCCCAAGGGGGCAAAAATTGGTTCTTTGGGGGTGAAAATAATCTTAGTTATTCCAACAGTTGTACTCCATTAAGCTTTAGTGCATAAACAGAGTTCCAGTAGATCTGTAGAATTAAACTTTCATGGTGAGGGAGATGTTTAGGGAAAATTATCTTAAAAAGGCAACTTAGTGGGGTGATACGGGGGAAAAAAAAGTTTGAGATTTGAGACACTTTCTTCCTCCTCCTCCTCCTCTTCTCCATCTCCTTCTTCGAGACGGAGTCTCACTCCCAGGCTGGAGTACAGTGGCGCAATATCGGCTCACTGCAACCTCTGCCTCCCGGGTTCAAGCGATTCTCCTGCCTCAGCCTCCTGAGTAGCTGGGATTACAGGTGTGGACTACCATGCCTGGCTAATTTTTGTATTATTAGTAGAGATGGGGTTTCACCATGTTGGCCAGGCTGCTATCGAACTCCTGACCTCATGTAGTCCACCTGCCTCAGTCACCCAAAGTGCTGGCATTACAGGCGTGAGCCACTGCACCCGGCCTAAGACACTCTCTTCTATAGCAAAGCAGAGAGTCCTTTCTAACCAGGTCTCCCAATATGGGGATCTTTAGAGCACTGGCACGATCACGGCTCACTGCAGCCTCAAATTCCTGGGCTCAAGGGATCCTTGTGCCTCAGCCTCTAGAGTAGCTGGGACTACAATGCCACCATGCCCGGCTATTTATTAATTTTTATTTTTATAGAGACAGGGTCTCACTATGTTGGCCAGGCTGGTCTTGAACTCCCGGCCTCAAGCAATCCTCCTATCTCAGCTTCTCAAAGCTCTAGCATTATAGGTGTGAGCTACTGAGCCCAGTGAATGAGGGGATCTTTATGTGAAGAGTTCCCAACTAGATTATCAGTGTCTTTATGATCTTATTCAGCTTTATCTATCCCCATTGTAGACAACAAAATAATAATAATGATACTAATCAAAATAGCTCAACAGCTATTAAGCTTTCTAGGAATGGTTCTAAGTGCTATACACCTGTGTAACCTTACCTGCAACTATGTGAGGGTAGGAACTATTACTTGTCCTACTTTAGACATGAGAAAGCTAAGGCACAGGTCACATAACTTGCCTCAGGTCATACAGAAATAATTGATGGAGACAAAATTGTAATCTAAGCACTCTTAGCTACTCTGCTATATTGCCTGCACTAACAGTTTTGGTTAATAATTATTAAAATAATAGGAACCTTCGGGGCAGGCACGGTGGCTCATGCCTGTAATCCCAGCACTTTGGGAGGCCGAGGCGGGTGGATCATCTGAGGTCAGGAGTTCAAGACCAGCCTGGCCAACATGGTGAAACCCCGCTTCTACTAAAAATACAAAAAAATTAGTCGGGCGTGGTGGCACACGTCTGTAATCCCAGCTACTTGGGAGGCTGAGGCAGGAGAATCACTTGAACCCGGGAGGCAGAGGTTGCAGTGAGCCGAGATCGCACCCCTGCACTCCAGCCTGGGTGACAGAGCCAGACTCCGGAAGAAAAAAAAATAAGAACCTTCTTTTCAACATTTAATATGTGCCAAGAACTATGCTAAGCACTTTACATATATTGCCTTCTTGAATCCTCAAAACAATGCTATTGATATGCTAGGTGGGTATTAGCCCCATTTTACAGATAGGGAAGCTGAGGCTCAGAGAGGTAACAGGACTTGCTCAGGGTTCTGCAGATGGTGAGTGATGAGGTCTGTCAGCCTTGTTGAAACTGGCTGAAACAGACAGGGTCCTCTGAGCTGTGGCCCCTCTGAATCCCAGGGCCACAGAGCAGGGGGCCCAGTCACCCTTCCTCCTTGTCCCCAGAATATCCTGCGCCAGACAGAAGAGGGGTCCAGCCGTCAGGAGAATGCCCAGAAGGCCCTGGGTGCTGTCAGCAAGGTGGGCAGTGGGGAAGCTGAAGCAGGGGGAGGTGACAAGGTGGTAGAGAGAAATGGTAGGGAGCAGGGGGCTGGCCGCTGGGGTGGTGACACAGCTCCCCTTACCTAGATCATCGAGCGTTGCAGCGCTGAGGTGGGGCGCATGAAGCAGACTGAAGAGCTGATCCGGCTCACCCAAAGGCTGCGCTTCCACAAAGTCAAGGTACATCGCTGCCCAGGCTCCCCATCTTGCCCTGCCCCATGTTGCTGCTGCCACGCTAGAACCTCCTCTGCCTCCGCTTCCTCGCAGGCCCTGCCCCTGGTCTCCTGGTCACGGCGCCTGGAATTCCAGGGAGAGCTGACTGAGTTAGGGTGCCGGAGGGGGGGCGTGCTCTTTGCCTCGCGCCCCCGCTTCACCCCTCTTTGCCTGCTGCTCTTTAGCGACCTGCTGCTCATCACTCAGCCTAAGAGGTGAGTCCTAGGGAAGGAAGGAGCCCAGGCTGGAGTGGGCAGGAGGGGTCCAGCGGGACCCCTGCTGTCCTTCTGAACGACCTCATCCCTGGGCAGTGGGCAGCGGTTACAGGTTCTGGACTATGCCCATCGCTCCCTGGTCCAGGCCCAGCAGGTTCCGGATCCATCTGGACCCCCTACCTTCCGCCTCTCCCTTCTCAGCAACCACCAGGGCCGCCCCACCCACCGACTACTCCAAGCTTCTTCCCTGTGAGTTGTGTTTCCCTCAGAAAACAACCTTGGGACACTTATCTGACCTCTCAGACCTCCCCCACTTCCCCAGTCTCTCTCTTCTGTGGCTCCTGCCTCAGCCCCAGAGGATCTTTTGGGCCAACTGTGACACTTCCCAATATCCCCACCAGATCAGACATGCAGCGCTGGCTGGGAGCCTTCCCAACCCCAGGCCCCCTTCCCTGCTCCCCAGACACCATCTATGAGGACTGTGGTGAGTATCCCCCTAGAGGGGATGAGGGAAGAAAAAGCGAGTCTTAGAGGAATATGGGGGAGAAGCTAAACAGAATCACTTTAATGTCACCCACCCCCAACCAGACTGTTCCCAGGAACTGTGTTCAGAGTCGTCTGCACCTGCCAAGACTGAAGGACGGAGTCTGGAGTCCAGGGCTGCCCCCAAACACCTGCACAAGACCCCTGAAGGTGAGAAAGTCTTTCATTTATTTATTTTGTATTTATTATTATTATTTTTTGAGACAGAGTCTCATTCTGTCAGCCAGGCTAGAGTGCAGTGGTGTGAGCTCGGCTCACTGCAACCTCTGCCTCCTGGGTTCAAGGGATTCTCCTGCCTCAACCTCCCAAGTAGCTGAGATTACAGGTGCCCACCACCACGTCTGGCTAATTTTTGTATTTTTAGTAGAGATGGGGTTTCACCATGTTGGCCAGGCTGGTCTCGAACTAACCTCAGGTGATCCGTCCCCTTTCACCTCCCAAAGTGCTGGGATTACAGGCATGAGCCTCTGGTGCCAGGCCTTATTTCTATTCTTTTTTTTTTTTAATGGAGGTGGGGGGTCTCACTATGTTGCTCAGGCTGGTCTTGAACTCCCGAGCTCAAGTGATCCTCCTGCCTCAGGCTCCCAAAGTGCTGGGATTACAGGCGTGAGCCACTGCGCCTGGCCGTGTTTCATTTATTCATTCAATAAATATTTATTAAGCACCTACAAAGTGCCACTCGCTGTTCTAGGGACTGTGAATCAAATATATCACACTTCCTTCCTTGCTGGAGCTACGTTCTAGCAGAGGAGGCAGACGATAAAGAATGAGCAAAATAGATAAGTAAATTATAAAGTACATGTGAAGGTTATGAGTGTTATGGAAAAAAAAAAAAGTGAGCAGAGCAAAGAAGGTCAGGAGTTCCAGGGTTGGGCAGACTGAAATTTTCAATAGGGAGGCCGAGGTGGACCTCACTGAGAAGGCAACATGAAGCTTGATGGAGCTAATTTAGGCCCATGGTGTCTGGGGGAAGAGTGTCCCAGCTGGAGGCAGCAGGCAGTGCAAAGGCCCTGCGGCTGGTGTGTGACTGAGGAACTGTAAGGAGGCCAGTGTGACTAGCAGGAGAGAGAAAGGGGGAGAAGCAAATGAGGTCATAGAAGTGGCAGGGATGGGATCACGCAGGACCTGACAGGTCTCTGCAAGGACTCCACCTCTTACTCCAAGAGACATGAGCAGCCACTGCAGGGCTTGACGGAAGAGCAGCCCAGACTCTCTCCGAGCTGCTGTCACCTCCACTTCTGATGCCCTTTCTACCGATGCTCCAGGCTTGTCCATGAATTCCCACACCTACAATGACCCTGAAGGCCTGAGACCCCACGAGGCCCCCTTTGCCTCCTCACCTGCTCCCTGCCCCCACCTCATTGGAGCCTCTGTCTCTCTTCCCCCAGGTTGGCTGAAGGGGCTTCCTGGGGCCTTCCCTGCCCAGCTGGTGTGTGAAGTCACAGGGGAACACGAAAGGAGGAGGCACCTTCGCCAGAACCAGAGGCTTCTCGAGGCTGTTGGATCTTCTTCAGGCACCCCCAATGCCCCCCCACCCTAATGCAGGCTGAGGAGGGGGCACATGTTGGGAGACACCTACCAGTGTGGCACGGAGAGAACAAAGCCCATTCATCCATTGGATTCACTGTCAGTGGAGATACTACCTCTCGTGGCAACCATAGAGATCGAGCTTCAGGACAGAGCAGCCAATGAAAACGGCCGCCTGAACCCACAGCAATAAGAATGAATGAGGATGCCTTGAATGTGTGGCCAATGGAGACAGAGGCTTAGTGCAGAGCAGCCAATGGGTACTGAGCTGGCTGAGCCTATGGCCAATGAGTATTCCTGCTATGCTCAGGGCCAAGGAAGACAAATCTAGGTCATGGCAGTTGAAAAAGGGCCTCATTGGAGATAAAGTCGTAGGATAAAATTGGGAACAGGAATGAGCAGGAAGCCAATCAGCCAAAGAAAATGGTGATCTGGACCCAAGAGACCAGTAGTCACCCTGCTTGTTTCTGCAGCAATGACTGGTCCTGTCTTTTGAGTCTGGGAAATACTAGTTTCCATTCCTGGATGCTTCCTGTGCCCTCTCAAGCCAGTTCTTCTCTTCCAGAAGAATTCAGAGTATGTGTCTCAGAAAATCTGTGTGTGTACATGTGCATGTGTAGATATGTGTGTATATGTATCAGGAAAGGCATTCTGCTGACTGTGGTGTGTGTGTGGTGATTGTGCTCCTGACCCACAAATGACTGAGTGCTCCATTTCTTCCTTTACCCCCCATTTTTCCTATTATTCGCTCCAAGAAAGATGCTAAGTCTGAGCTCCAGAAGAGACTGTGCTGGGTGTGGCTTGGCACCCAGGGGATGAGAGCCCTGAGCTTTGGGTCTCTTGGAGGCTAGGGTTCTGTGGCAGTTGCAGGGCAATGTTATGGAGCAGCCAACGGCCTGGCAGAGGAGCCCAAGGGACTGAAGATGGCCAGTAGCTGGGTCCTGAGGCCCCTGAAGTCTGCAGACCCTTCTCCTTGCCCCAAACACTGGCCTCCATAATTCCTGCCTGCAGATCTCCCAACTTGAACTATAATCCACCAGCCAGCCTCAGCCTTGAGCTTTGGAACCACATTAGATCCTGCATCTGGGTGAAGAAACGGGAGCTGTGGACCACAGGCCAGCCAGTGAACCTCCTGGGCTTTCTTGCCTTTGTCCTGATCCTCTCACAGAAACACTGGGCCAAACAGTGGGGAGAGATTGGAGAGCGGGTGTGGCTGCCCAACCCCATCCAGAGCATCTGCTTCCAGATGAGCCAGTGCCTCGCATGATACCAGAGGAGGCGAGGGACAGAGACAGCAAGGCAGACAGTGGCTGGCAGGGGGGCCCAGGCCCGGGACGAGGCCTCCCCTTCAGCTCAGGCACAGCAACTTGCCCAGGACTGACACTGTCACCCTGACTGCAGGAGGCACAGGGACTCCGGGAGACTCAGAGGGCGAAGAGCACTGGCATTTGGCATGTCCATGACATTGGAGACTCCCCTAGCAGGGTGCCTGACGTGTGGGGAACCCTCAGTAAATAGTGGTGCATTTGTATTGAGGCTCTCTGAGGAAGTGTGTGCTTATAGGAGCAGTGGTCTCCAAGCATGGTTTATAAGGGGATGGGGCTGCTTGGAAAGGGGTCCAGAGCAGGGGTCAATTCTGTTGGGAACTGGGGCTTGAAGGTCATGTGCTAGACCTGAGTGTGTTAGCCCACTCACAGTTCCTGAGGGATCTCAGGTGGTGGTGGTTGTGGCGATGGTGGTGGGTTTGCAACAGCTGTGGTTGGGGGCTGCTGCAGGCTGGGCAATGCCTGGGGCTTTGGCAGGGGATGAGAATGCAGCAAGAAGGATAAAAAGGGCAGTCAGGGCCGGGCACGGTGGCTTGCACCTGTAATCCCAGCACTTTGGGAGGCCGAGGTGGGCAGATCACTTGAGCTCAGGAGTTTGAGACCAGCCTGGGCAGCATAATGAAACCCTGTCTCTACAAAAAATACAAAATTACCCAGGTGTAGTGGCATGCGCCTATAGTCCCAGTTCCTCGGGAGGCTGAGGCAAGAGGATAGCTTCACCCTGGGAGGTCGAGGCTGCAACGTGCCATGTTCGCATCACCGCACTCCAGCTTGGGTGACAAAGCAAGACCTTGTCTCAAAAAAAAAAAAAAAAAAAAAAAAGGGCAGCGATAAAGGCCCTTTACTGACCAGCCAATCATCTCTGTGTTTAATTCAATTATACCTATTTATTGAGTGCCTTCTATGTGCCAGGCATTGTTCTAGGATCTGGGGATACAGATATGAAAAAGACAAAGTCCTTGCCCTCAGGAAGCCTTCATCCTGAGGGTGAGAGGTGACAGGGACAATTACCATGTCAACAAATTAATAAGTAAGATAAGATCAGGCCAGGCATGGTGGCTCACCCCTGTAATCCCAGCACTTTGGGAGGCTGAGGTGGGCGGATCTCTTGAGGTCAGGAGTTCAAGACCGGCCTGGCCAACATGGCTAAACCCTGTCTCTACTAAAAATACAAAAATTAGGCCGGGTGCAGTGGCTCATGCCTGTAATCTCAGCACTTTGAGAGGCCGAGGCGGGTGGATCACCTGAGGTCAGGAATTCGAGACCAGCCTGGCCAACATGGTGAAACACTGTCTCTACTAAAAATACAAAAATTAGCTGGGCATGGTGGTACATGCCTGTAAGTCCCAGCTACTCGGGAGGCTGAGGCAGGAAAATCCTTTGAACCTGGGAGGCAGAAGTTGCAGGAGGTTGCAGTGAGCCGAGATAGCGCCATTGCACTCCAGCCTGGGCGACAGGGCGAGATTCCATCTCATAAAAACAAAACAGGGGCCGGGTGCAGTGGCTCATGCCTGTAATCCCAGCGCTTTGGGAGGCCAAGGCGGGTGGATCACCTGAGGTTGGGAGTTTGAGACCAGCCTGACCAATATGGAGAAACCCCGTCTCTACTAAAAATACAAAATTAGCCGGGCATGGTGGCGCATGCCTGTAATCCCAGCTACTCGGGAGGCTGAGGCAGGAGAATCGCTTGAACCCGGGAGGCAGAGGTTGCAGTGAGCCGAGATGGCACCATTGCACTCCAGCCTGGGCAACAAGAGTGAAACTCCATCTCAAAAAACAAAACAAAACAAACCCTCCCCTCCCCAAAAAAAAACAGCACTAAGATAAAATCAGTAAGCAGTAAGCAGAAAATACAGCAAGGGCTGTGGCATAGAATGTTGTGTGTGTATGTTTTGGGGGAGGGTGGTGGCTTTAGGGCAGATCCTGGAAGAGATGACATTTGAACTGAGACCCAGATGACTTCCAGAGGAAGTAGCCCTGGGAAGATCTGGGGAAAGAGCATTCGAATGGAGGCAACAGGGGGCGATAGTCCAGGAACAGAAGGTAGTGGTAGTGGGGATGGGAATTGGTGCACGTGCCCCTTCAAGTGTCCTGGTAGGTGGAGCCCCTCCCCACCAAGGTCTCCCTCCCTCTTTGGCATAAGATGGAGACACACTGGGATACTCAGACAGACAGACATCCGGGGGCAGACGTGCCCCATACACCTTCTCTCCTGGCTCCTCATCCCTTACTGGAGTCCTGCCACTAAGGAAGCCCCCATGCTCCAATTCAGATGTTCTGATGGTGGGATAATGGGGAGATGCCGACCAGGTAAGGGTTATTTTGGGACATAAAGGTGTATAAAATACAACCATATGTTCCAAAAGAGACTGAGAAGACAGGAAGGGAGGGGACTGCCATGTTTCCTGACTTTTGGGGGTTGGATTCTGTTATCTCAGAGCCTGCTTTCCATTTTGGGGTGACCTGAGTGTGTTTGTCCTGGAGGGGTCTGCATTCTGCTGGCCTGTCTAAGGGGGCCGAAGGGCATGAAACACAGCTATATGGGAAAGGAACGGATGTGGGGGAATGAGGACTACAGCAAGGAGAGCGTGGATAGACAGAAGATGGGAATGGGGATGGGGTAAAGAGGACAGAAGAGGGAGGCTGATGGGGGGTGTTGCAGGACAGGTGGCAGGAGGTAACTCAGCTCATTCCAAATTGTCTCCCTCCCTCTCCCTCAGGCATCTCTGCTATGGGTGTCCAGTGTCCCCTCCCTTCTGTGTTCTTCCTGCCCCTCTGGGTTGCCTCCTGCAACTTCCTCATAGGTGGCGTAGGAGGGCCCATGGGAGAAACCTCTCAGCGGTGCCCTGTCTGCGTTCCAGGCATGCTGGTGGGGGTAGTACAGAGAGGTTCACTGAGTCAGCTGGGGAGTCCTAGAGCCACTATCACCTTATTCCCTCACAGTCTATCATGCTGGGGAGGTGGAAGAAACCAACATTTCCACAGGCTCAGGAAAGGTGCAGGCGTCCCCGGGGGGAGATGCCTGAGGCGACAGGGTGGGAAAGCTGGCCCCAGTTGGGGACCTTTCTCTGAGTCAGTGTGGACACTCTTCACCCGTGGCCCTGCTCCTCATAGCTGAAGCCTCCATATTCTGGGAGTCAATTGTCAACCTAAAAGGAAGAGGCTGAGGCACAAAATATGGTTGAAAGAGTTTACTTGAGCCCAAGGGGGCCGGGCATGGTGGCTCACGCCTGTAATCCCAACACTTTGGGAGGTCGAGGCAGGTGGATCACCTGAGGTCATGACTTTGAGACCAGCTTGGCCAACATGGTGAAACCCCGTCTCCACTAAAAATACAAAAAATTAGCCGGGTGTCGTGGTGCCCGCCTGTAATCCCAGCCACTCGGGAGGCTGAGGCAGGAGGATCCTTTGAACCCAGGAGACAGTGGTTGCAGTGAGCCAAGATCGCGTGATTGCACTCCAGCCTGGGTGACAAGAGCGAGACTCTGTCTCAAAAAACAAAAAACAAACGAAAGACAAAGGGAGGACGGCTGCCAGGAAGACTCAGACCCAAGTAACCTTGGATATGAGCTCCATTAGGGCTTTGTTACAAGCAGGTTTTCAAAGGCAAAAAAGGGGGACAGGGAGTGGGCTGTGGGCTGATACAAAGTTGTTAGGAATTCTCATTGGTTTAAAGGAAGCTCTTTGATTAGTGATTGGCTATATACTGTTAAGCTATAGGGGGTGGGTTATAGTGTCCAGTGTGGCATTACCAGGTTAATTCATAGCTACTTATGGCAAGAGCAAGCCAATGCAAGCAGTTAAAGAGGTGAATACCTAGCTCAAAGGGGGTAATGGGATGTCACTGTTGTCTCATTTTAATTCCTCTCTGGCCCTGATTTTTTTTTTTTTTTTTGTCACAAGATTTGGCTTTGTCACCCAGGCGGGAGTGCAGTGGCACGATCTTGGCTCACTGCAGCCTCGAGCTCCTGGGCTCAAGCGATCCTCCTGCCTCAGCTTCCTGAGTAGCTGGGACCACAGGCAGGAGCCAACACACCCGACTAATTTCTGTATTTTTTGTAGAGACGGCGTTTTGCCATGTTGCCCAGGCTGGTCTGGAACTCCTGGGCTCAAGCGATCCTCTCTATGGGCCTGATAATTTTAAAAGCCTTGCCCCCCTCAGATAAAAAGTTTTTCTTTTCCTACAAGATAAGGCAGATAGTAAAGGGCACGGGCCTCTCTTTGAGCTGGCCTTCTGTGGGCTCCGGGTCAAGATCTTAGTGGCCAACATCGCAGATAAACGGGGGTGGGGGTTGCAATCATGCCCACAAGCAACAGAGGAAAGAGAGGAGCCTCGCCCTCTTCCCCCCACGCCCCGGCCCCCAAGCCTGCTCACTAGCTCTCTCCTCCTCCTTCCACCCGCAAGGAACCCTCCAGCCCACTTCCTGTGATCCTTTCCGGAGCCCTTCAGCCTGGCTGGCTCTCCAGCCATCTCGGAAAGCTTCTCTTTCCTAAACCCTCCATACTCGCAGGTTCAGCTACAGAGGTAACTGCAGGCTCAGGTTCTCCAGGGTGGCCAGCCCACCAGCCCACCGTCCCGGTGCAGCAGTGCCTCTCCAGCGACAGCTCCACCGCGAGCCTGGCGGGCTCCCGACCTTGCTCCCCAGCACGTCGTCTCCAAGCCACGGTCTCACCACCCTCCATCAGCCTCGGGCGACACCAAGGGGAACAGAGCGCTGGAGCTCCTCGAAGTCCTCCCGACCTTAGCGGGGCTCCGTTCATCCTCCCGGACGTGGCCAGGCCCCGCTCTGGCCCCGCGCCCGCCCCTCCCGCGGGGCTGCCCCTGTCTCTCTGCCGGAGACCCGGACTCAGTGAGTGAGCGCAGCGCGGCCATAGGGCTTCCTGCAGCGGGGTCTCAGCACGTCTTCTGGCTGGACTCTGGGGTCTCCTGGCCTGGCTGTGTCTCCTGGTTCTCAGCGCTCGCCTCCCACGCGGGGCGGAGTATGGGAGTGGGCTGCTCCCGCGGAAGAATCCTGGGGAAGTTGAGGCACTGGCTCCCGCTGTTCAGAACACTGCCCGACGTCCCCAGAGCTAGCCACTCCTCCTTCCCACCCACCCGCAGCACTCTCGAGGTCGCAACGGCAGTCACCAGGTCCCGGGGCCTGCGTTCAGCTGCTTGATCCGACTAGGTTTGGCTTCGGACCCGAATGGGTCAGCTCCACGCCCGATGGAGTTTTTCAAGCTGGTGCCTGCACGTGCCCCCGCCGCGGGGCATGAAGCCGTGGGCTGCGCCCAAACTGCCTCACAACCACCGCTGACCCGAAGCCTCTCTCACTCCGTCCACTGTTAGAAACCTGAAGCTGCCCTCTGTGAGAAAGCGTTGGGATTGAATCCAGACTTTTGGGGAACCTTAACAATAAAGAATACAAAATATTGACTAAAAATTGGATTTGAAAGTGACCCTGAGTTGTTGTTGTTGTTTTTGTTTTAGACGGAGTCTCACACTGTCACCCAGTCTAGAGTGCAGTGGCGTGACCTCGGCTCACCGCAACCTTCGCCTCCTGGGTTCAAGCGATTCTCCTGCCTCAGCCTCCCGAGTAGCTGGGACTACAGGCGTGCGCCACCACACTCGGCTAATTTTTTATATTTTTAGTAGAGACGGGGCTTCACCATATGGCCAGGCTGGTTTTGAACCCTTGACCTCATGATCTACCCCCATCGACCTCCCAAAGTGCTGGGATTACAGGGGAGGCACTGCGCCCAGCTACTCTTCCTTGATTTACGACAACCCTTGGTTATTGTGATTGGGTCGAGATGGGTATGTGTCCCAATTTGGATCAATGAGTTCAGAGACAGTTAATTCGAGACCCACCCAAGAGCCACTTGAATGAGCCATTCTCTCTTCCCCTGGACATTGCAGTGTGAGGATATAAGGTTTGGATCAGTGGCTGCCATTTTAGTGCAGTGAGAGGCAGCTTGGAGTTGCTGGGGAGGCCACTGGATACAGCCTGATGAAGGAGCCAACACCACAAAACTGGAAATGGAGAGACAAGGGGAAAGCCAGGTCCTTGTTATCATCACTTGAGTTCCAGGATCAAGTCTCATCTGAAGCTTTTATCTTGATTTTTCAGTTATTTTTGTTTGTTTGTTTGTTTGAGGCAGGATCTCGCACTGTTGCCCAGGCTGGAAGGAAGTGGCACGATCTCGGCCCACTGCAACCCTCTGCCTCCTAGGTTCAAGCTATTCTCATACTTCAGCCTCTCTAGTAGCTGGGACTACAGGCATGCGCCACCATGCCCAGCTAATTTTTTTTTTTTTTTTTTTTTTTTAGATGGAGTCACACTCTGTCACCCAGGCTGGAGTGCAATGGCATGATCTTGGCTCACTGCAACCTCTGCCTCCTGGGTTCAAGTGATTCTGTTGTCTCAGCCTCCTGAGTAGCTGGGATTGCAGGCGCCTGCGATCATGCCCCACTAATTTTTGTATTTTTAGTAGAAATGAAGTTTCACCATGTTGGCCAGGCTGGTCTCAAACTCCTGACCTCAGGCGATCTGCCCGCCTGGGCCTTACAAAGTGCTGGGATTACAGGCACGAGCCACTGAGACCAGCCTGGATTTTTCAGTTCTATAGGTCATTAAATTCCCTTTATCCCTTAAACCAGTTTGAATCTCCTTTCTTTTATTAGCTACAGAGTCCTAACTGATTCAGATAATCCACAATACAATTGTACTCTTAGCTATTCCAGAGAGGCCATTTATCTCACTGGCAGCTCTTCCTCTCCTGTGTGCCTTCCTGTTCAGACTCTGTGGATCACGCAATGAATTCCCAAATGGTAGGATGCAAATCTGAGGTGGGCAGGTCCACCTCAAGTCGGCCTGCTTGTTACAATAGGTAACTTCGCCAAAGTTGCTTCAATTTGGTCCTCATCATGGCTTGCCATTTTATTTAAGACGAGACCAGGCCGGGCGCGGTGGCTCACGCCTGTAATCCCAGCACTTTGGGAGGCCGAGGCGGGTGGATCACTTGAGGTCAGGAGTTCGAGACCAGCCTGACCAGTATGGTGAAATCCCGTCTCTACTAAAAATACAAAAATTAGTTTGGTGTGGTGGCACATGCCTGCAATCCCAGCTCCTTGGGAGGCTGAGGCAGGAGAATCGCTTGAACCCGGGAGGCGGAGTTTGCAGTGAGGCAACATGGCACCACTGCACTCCAGCCTGGGCAACAAGAGTGAAACGCTGTCTCAAAAAAAAAAAAAAAAAAAAAAAAGACTAGATTGGGCATTTAGAATGTCAGAGTGAAAAGCAAGCTGGAATTACAGTGCTTCATTTTGTGAAATACTAAATACCATCATTATGCTGCTGAAAGAAAAGCTGTTTTAATGATTTTTGATTTGTCTTTGTGAGAGTAAAATCACGACAGATTGACATGGACAATTCTAAGGAAAAAATAAATAAAAGAATACCAGAATGAAAATACAGAACGTTGCATGTTGGTTTCATTCTCTCAGAAGAAACTGAGGCACAAAGAGGTCAAGTATTTCAGGTTCACAGAGCTAGCAATTGGCAGAGACAGCATTTGCATCTGACAGTCTCACTCGAGAGTTCTGGATATATTCAAAGTGTTCTGGAAGCAGCATATATATGATGATCCATGGGGACGATAAATAAATATTTAAAAAGATTTCATATTTTTAATCTTTTTATTTTGAGACGGCGTCTTGCTCTGTTGCCCAGGCTGGCGTGCAGTGGCACGATCTCAGCTCACTGCAACCTTCACCTCCTGGGTTCAAGTGATTCTCCTGCCTCAGCCTCCTGAGTAGCTGGGATTATAGGTGTGTGCCATCACTCCTGGCTAATTTTTGTATTTTTAGAAGAGACGGGGTTTCACCATATTGTTTGGGTTGGTCTTAAACTCCTGACCTCAAGTGATCTGCTCACCTCAGCCTCCCAAAGTGCTGGGATTACAGGCATTAGTCACCACGCCCGGTACCATATTTCTACTCATTATGCCCTTTATAAAATATATTATTGTAGATGTTTAAAGCTGTTAGTGTAGTAGTACTTATATATGATTCATGGATAACATTTATATGTGTGTATATATACGCATCTACATATCATTATATATGTACGTACACATACACACAGATACATTCACACATACATATATGTGGGTATCACAAAGTATTAGTTAAGTGACTCTAATACTTTGAATGTAATATTCAAAGTATTATTTGCATGTAGATTCTGAAATAATACTTTGAGAATCAGCAGGGTAGGGGCGGGGGTCAGTGGGCAGAGGAGTGGGATTCCCCCAGAATGAAAGGAATTTCTCATAGACTCATAGTTCAGCCTCATAGTTTCACCACCGACTTTGCACTTGACTTCAATTACAAAGTCCCAGGGCAGAACTCTGGAAGGATCTAGCTTGGGTCAACCATTTTTTTTTTTTTTTTGAGATGGATCTCATTCTGTTGCCCAGGCTGGAGTGCAGTGGTGAAATCTCAGCTCACTGCAACCTCTGCCTCTTGGGTTCAAGTGATTCTCCTGCCTCATCCTCCCAAGTAGCTGGGAGGACAGGCGTGCGTCACCATGCCTGGCTAATTTTTGTATTTTTAGTAGAGATGGGGTTTCTTTTTTTTTTTTTTTTTTTTTGAGACGGAGTCTTGCTCTGTCACCCAGGCTGGAGTGCAGTGGCACGATCTCGGATCACTGCAAGCTCCGCCTCCCGGGTTCATGCCATTCTCCTGCCTCAGCCTCCCGAGTAGCTGGGACTACAGGCGCCTGCCACCACGCTTGGCTAATTTTTTGTATTTTTAATAGAGACGGGGTTTCACCGTGTTGGCCAGGATGGTCTCGATCTCCTGACCTCGTGATCCGCCCGCCTCAGCCTCCCAAAGTGCTAGGATTACAGGCATGAGCCACCGCACCTGGCCTAGAGATGGGGTTTCACCATGTTGGTCAGGCTGGTCTCGAACTCCTGACCTCAGGTGATCCGCCCGCCTTGGCCTCCTAAAGTGCTGAGATTACAGGTGTGAGCCACTGCGCGCCCGGCCGTGGGTCAATCATTTTGAGTTTGGGTCACGTGTTCACCACTTTGCAGCCCCCACTGGAACCACAGTGATGAGTTTTCAGGCATCAACCAATAGGAGACAAGCATATGTAGATCAAAATAGTACCATTATTACTGGTAAAGATGTTTGTAAATGTGGCTTTATTTTCTCTGGTCAAATTGGCTTTTTAATAATTCACCCTTGCTGGGTGCTGTGGCTCCTGCCTGTAATCCCAGCACTTTGGGAGGCCGAGGCGGGTGGATCACCTGAGGTCGGGAGTTCGAGACCAGCCTGACCAACATGGAGAAACCCCATCTCTACTAAAAATACAAAATTAGCCGGACGTGGTGGCGCATGCCTGTAATCCCAGCTACTCAGGAGGCTGAGGCAGGAGAATCACTTGAACCCGGGAGGCGGAGGTTGTGGTGAGCCGAGATCACCCCATTGCACTCCAAACTGGGCAACAGAGTGAAACTCCGTCTCAAAAAAAAAAAAAAAAAAAATTCACCCTTGATTGCCTAGTCCTGGGGAGCTTTTACTGTGTGACCAAGAACAGGCAGGAACACATGCCCGTTCCAGGTGAGCAGGTTGCCAAAAGAGAACCCAGATGAAGCTGAACCACCACATGTCCCTTCATCCCAAACCCACTATGTTAATTATTTGTCCCATTAATGAAATAGCTGCATTTCTTCTTCTGGGAACATGGTGGGCTCCCTCTTAGAGTGAAGTGCAGGTATGTTACTTGCTTTAGCCAGTTACATGTCATTAGTTGTGACGCGTGTCACCTCCAGCTGGGAGCTTTAAGAGCCTGTGGTTGATTGGCTGCACAAACTCTTTTTCCACTTGATATGGCAACAGTTAGTGGTCCAGGTGGTACCTGCTTCATTATCCTATGTTCTGGAATGAGGACGACATGGAGAGGAGCCCCAAGACAACAAACAGTGACATGGAGCTTGAGCAACGAAGAAATATTTGCTGTTTTAAGCAACTGAGATTTTGCAGTTGCTTGTTACCACAGCATAACCTTGCCTATCCTGACTGCTACATTCACCAGTCAGATAAGGTGCTCCATCTTCTTTGCAGGAGGAAAGAAGAAGAAGTAGGGAGAGAAGTTAGGGGTTTTCTTCTATCTACCTGGAAATATGAATAGGAAATAAATGCTTCCTCCTAATACATATTATTAAGCTAAGGATGGAGGAGCACTTCCCAAAAGGAAAAATGGATCAGTCAGGATTATGGTTATAAGCAGCAGAATACAACTTTGGTGATGTTTGTAGAAAATGGTGTTTGCGGACAGGATATTGGATAGTCACCGAGTCTCCAGAAAAGCTGGAGAATCGAGCCTATAAAACAGGCAGGAGTGTGGGAGGTAACACAGTCCAAGCTACCACCAAAAACACTCCGCAGAACTGGTCTGTCAAGCATGCACCGTAGATTCACACGACCTTCACCCCCCCGCCACTGGGTGTCCTGGTCAGCATGACAACAAAGCCCACAGTGACAGGAATGCTCACAACAGATGCTGCTGCTTGTACTGCTGACAGTGCCACTCCTGCCCCTGCTGCTGTCACCACTGTAAAATAGACTCTTCTCTGTCCCTGCTTTGTGTCACTGGCTCCCAAGTTTAAGTCCGGGGACATTGTGTCTGTTTGGTTGATCCTAGGTCATGTAATTAGATCAGTAGTTGGGAAAGTGAATCTTTGGCTTGTTCAACTTCTGCAGTTGGACCAGGGCTGTCTCCAGACTAGGCCTTTTTTTTTTTTTTTTTTTTTTTTTTTTGGACAAAGTCTTGTTCTGTTACCCAGGCTGGAGGGCAGTGGTGCGATCTTGGCTCACTGCAACCTCTGCCTCTTGGGTTCAAGCAATCCTCCTGCCTCAGTCTCTCAAGAAGCTGGGATTACAGGTGTGTGCCATTATGCTCAGCTGATTTTTGTATTTTTAGTAGAGATAGGGTTTTGCTATGTTGGTCAGGGTGGTCTCGAACTCCTGCCTCAAGCAATCCATCTGCCTCAGCCTCCCAAAGTGCTGGGATTACAGGTGTCAGCCACCATGCCTGGCCATGAGGTCTCTTTAGATCTGGTGGCTCTCTGCTGCTTCCAAGTCATGTTTGGGCCATGAGACTATTTTGGGAAGCTGCCCAAGTTCCAGTATGTCTAGATGCTCTGTAATCATCATTCCCTGGTGTTGGCGGCTTCCCTGATGGTGCTGCAAGGAGCAAGTGCATGTCTGTCTCTGTCCTCTCAACTACTCTGGAGCATTCTTCTCATGCTGGGGGCGATCCCCACTCCTCTGACCACTGTCCGCCTACCCTGCTCTGCAGATTTTCCAGGATGCTTTGAATATATCCGGCGTGAGACTGGACAGTTCAAATGCTGGCTCTGTGACTTAGAGCAAATGACTTAGCCTTTGTGCCTCAGTTTTTTCTGCTGAAAAACACTGTAATAGGCCGGGCGCGGTGGCTCACGCCTGTAATCCCAGCACTTTGGGAGGCCGAGGTGGGCGGATCACGAGGTCAGGAGATCGAGACCATCCTGGCTAACACGGTGAAACCCTATCTCTACTAAAAATACAAAAAATTAGCCGGGCATGGTGGCGGGCACGTGTAGTCCCAGCTACTCGGGAGGCTGAGGCAGGAGAATGGCGTGAACCCGGGAGGCGGAGCTTGCAGTGAGCCAAGATTGCGCCACTGCACTCCAGCCTGGGCGACAGAGTGAGATTCCGACTCACAAAACAAAACAAAACAAAACAAAACAAAACAAAACAAAACACTGATAATAACAGTTCTTACCTGTGTTCATTTGGGTTCTCCCAGAAGCACACCCTGAGACAACGATTTGAGAACAGGTAGTTAACAGGGAGGTAACCCCATGATACAATAGTAAAGGTGTAAGAAACTGAGATAGGGAAGGGAAGAAAGTCAGTAAGGTGGGGTACAAAACCAGTTTCTACTATGAGCAACTAGAGATTGATCCCACTGGGGAACTCTGGGTGACAGCATAGAGCAGGGTTGAACAAACTGTGGCCTGGGCCATAAAATAGTTTTATCAGAACAGCTGCTCCTATTCAATTATATATGGTCTGTGGCTGATTTCACAGTATAATAGCCAAGTGGAATAGTTGTGATAGAGACTGTATGGCTTGCAAAGCCTAAAGTATTTACTTATTTATTTTTAACTTTTTTTTGTTTTTGAGAGAGTCTTACTCTGACTCCCAGGCTGGAGTGCAGTGACGCGATCTCTGCTCATTTGCAACCTCCGCCTCCCGGGTTCAAGCAATTCTCCCGCCTCAGTCTCCTGAGTAGCTGGGATTACAGGCATGAGTCACCACGCCTGGCTGTTTTTTTTTTTGTTTTTTGTTTTTTTTGTATTTTTAGTAGAGACAGGGTTTCACCATGTTGTCCAGGCTGGTCTTGAACTCTTGACTTCGTGATCTACCCACCTCGGCCTCCCAAAGTGCTGATTACAGGCGTGAGCCACTGTGCCCGGCCTATTATCTGGATTTTTTTTTTTACAGAAAAAGTTTGTCAGCTCCTGATGTAGGACATGTGTTAGAGATATCCCAACCTAGGAGCAAGGAAGCTAGGAAATTTGTCAATTCTCCCTGTGTTACTAGTGGATGGCTTCCCTTCAGCTCTCTTCTCCTCCTTCCACCTTTCAGTCTCCGTCTTCTAGGCTTTTGCTTGTGCAACATCAAGGCCAATGACAGTTACATTTACTTTTGTGGCTATAATTAAGTCTTCCTTGCTTTGTCCATCTGTTGATTCTAAGAGTTGAAAGGCAATGAACAGTGTTTACCTTATACATTGTGACTATATAAATATCTTTTGTTGCAGAGCTAGTAATCACTTAGATTACATTTCCTTTCTTGAACTATTTGTAATTACCTTCTGAAAGACAATGTTTGATACATTCACAAGATATTATGAAATCTATGTTAGCTGTAAATGATTATAATATAATAAATACCTGGCCAGGCACAGTGGCTTGTGCGTGTAATCCCAGCACGAGCTGTAATCCCAGGCCAAGGCAGGAAGATCGCTTGAGCCCAGGTGCACCACCACACCTGTAGTCCCAGCTACTTGGGAGGCTGAAGTGGGAGGATTGCTTGAGCTCAGGAGTTCAGCTATGATAGTGTCACTGCACTCCAGCCTAGGTGACAGAGCGAGATTTGTCTCAAAAAAAAAAAAAAAAAAAAAAAAAAAAAAAGAATATGCCTGCACCTATCACCCAACTCAGGAACTAGACTCTTATTAATAATGCATATGTGCTCGTGTAACATTCCTCATCTCACTCCTATGCCTTCTTGAGAAGTAACCATCATATGATATTTCATGTTTACTGTGCCACTGCTTTTTAAAAACTACCATGCAATCATAAGCTTACATAAGCTTAAACAATGCATTGGTTGTTGAGCTTGGTTATAGGCTCTATAAAAATGGCATCATATGTACTGTGTAGTCTTCTGGGGGTTACATTTTTCAGGAAACATTCTATTTCCAAGATTCTTCTGTGTTGTGTGTTGCTGTGAGAAATGCTTATTATTAAAAACCCTTAGAAACTCCAGGAAAAAGCTGGGTGCAGTGGCTGATGCCTGTAATCCCAGCACTTTGGGAGGCCGAGGCGGGTGAATCACGAGGTCAGGAGTTTGAGACCCACCTGGCCAACGTGGTGAAAGCCCGTCTCTACTAAAAATACAAAAAATTAGCTGGGCGTGGTGGCGGGCACCTGTAATCCCAGCTACTTGGGAGGCTGAGGCAGGACAATTGCTTGAACCGGTGGGGGCACAGGTTGCAGTGAGCTGAGATCACACCACTGCACTCCAGCCTGGGGGACAGAGTGAGACTCCGTCTCAAAAAAAAAAAAAAAAAAAAAGAAACTCCAGGAAAAACTTAAAAACTAAAGAGGATTCGAGGGAGGAAGCCCAATCCTGACGACACTGGCTCTGTGTAAATGACATTCCCAGCAGGCCCACCACCCCCTCTCCCAGTGTTCTCCCCTCCTTCTCCCATCTTCAAGATTCTGTCTTCTGGCTGGGTGTGGTGGCTCATGCCTGTAATCCCAGCACTTTGGGAGGCCGAGGCGGGCAGATCACGAGGTCAGGAGATCGAGACCATCCTAGCTAACACGGTGAAACCCCATCTCTACTAAAAATACAAAAAATTAGCCAGGCGTGGTGGTGGGCACCTGTAGTCCCAGCTACTCGGGAGGCTGAGGCAGGAGAATGGCATGAACCCGGGAGGCGGAGCTTGCACCACTGCACTCCAGCCTGGACGACAGAGTGAGACCCTGTCTCAAAAAAAAAAAAAAAAAAGATTCTGTCTTCTGACCCAGTGCCCCAACTGTAGCTGCTTGTTCTAAGGATGACACTCGTCCCTGGCAGGGCCAGAGAATGCTTGGACTTGGGACTGAGAGGTCTCCCCTCCAGCAGCTGGAGGGGTCTGATACACAGCTTGGAGTGTGAGGGCCATGTTTCCCACCATGTGGACCAGAGCAGAGGAAGAGGCTGGTCTGCAGAGACAGAGGAAGACGCCCAGGGAGGGGCAGAGACCACAGCCAGAAGAAGCGCCCTCACAGGCTTTGAATTTCAACTTTCAACCATTCCTGAGGTCCCACTGCACAGGTGACATCAGGATTCATAGTTCACTCTCCTTTTGCTTACAAGGAGAGTTAATTTGGAGAGTTAATCTGTTCCATGATTTGCAGATGCCACTGACTGGCAAGGATGCTTGCCAGGAATTATCTTCTGCATTTTTGCTCTTTCCCTGTTTGCTAGTGAAAGACTGTAAAAACAATTAAAATGATAATTTAACAACATAATTACCAGTTGCTGGGAATTTACTATGAACTAGTGAGTGCTTTTTGATCATTATCTCATTCAGCACTCTTACCAAGTCTATGAGAAAAATATTGTTCCTGTGTTACAGATGAGTAAACTGAGGCATAAGGAAGCTATATGACATCCAGGTTCACAGGGCTATTAAGAGGAAGACCCGGCTGCATGTGGTGGCACACACCTGTAATCCCAAGACTTTGGGAGGCTGAGACAGGTGGATCACCTGAGGTCAGGAGTTTGAGACCGGCCTGACTGACATGGTGAAATCCTGTCTCTACAAAATACAAAACATTAGCTGGGCGTGGTGGCTCATTCCTGTAATCCCAGCTACTTGGGAGGCTGAGGCAGGAGAATTGCTTGAACCCAGGAGGCGGAAGTTGCAGTTAGCTGACCAAGATGGCGCCATTGCACTCTAGCCTGGGCAACAAGAGTGAAATCCCATCTCAAAAAAAAAAAAAAAAAAAGGCGGGGAAGACCCATTTTTCATACCTTTGCCTGTTGGACCCCAAAGCCTATGTTCTTTTTTTTTAGACAGAGACTCCTTCTGGCCTGAGTGATGAAGGAAGACTGTCTCAATAAATAAATACATAAATAAATAAAATTATAACAATCTCAGAAGGCATGACACCTCTAGGACCCATTCTCATCCTACATCCTCCTCTTTCTGGTGCTGAGAAAAAAAAGAAAGGAAAAAGAAAAGTCAAAAGAAGAGGGAAGGAACTGGTGGTGATTGACTAGCAGTGAGTAGAGCTGGGAGGGAGGTGAAGGGTTGGGGAAAGCAATGGGAAGCTCGATGACATCTTTGCAAGACATGTCCAAAGAACAATGGAGGGAGGATCTTTTCCTGGGGATAAGCTCCTGCTCCCTCCCCCTGCTCCATCAGTGAGCATTTGGGGTTGGGGTTAGGGCAGAGGAACTAGGAAGAGAAAAGGGGACTGTCCTAGTCCATTTTGTGTTGCTATAACAGAATACCTGAGGGTGAATAATTTATAAAGAAAAAAGGGCTATTTGGCTCACAATTCTGATGGCCAGAAAGCTCAAGATTGGGCATCTGTTGAGGACGTCAGGCTGCTTTCACTTATGGTGGAGGCAAGGGGGAGCTGGCTTGTGCAGAGATCACAAGGTAAGGGAGGAGCTGAAACTGTGCCCCAAACAGTTAAATAAACCAGTGATTAACAGACATTTTCGAGTTTACAGGATGGCAGCTAAGAAACAGCTTGCTGAAATGCTGAAAAATCCCTTTGCTTATAACAGGACTGGCTGAAATCAGTGGGAACCCGTATGGCTGACAGCAATCCGCACAGAACGAGCTTGCTGATGTCACAGCCTGAATTTCCACCTGCTGTTTCATACTAACGCCACCAAATTTGCACATGCAACCCACGAAGAACCTTGGAGATAACCAGACATGATTAAGGACTTTCTAGACTTCTCCTTTCTTTCCACCAATCACCCGCTAATCCCAGAATCCTCCCCCTAAACCTTTTCTAATAAAAGTACTGCCTTAAGACCAGCAAAGAGAGACAGATTTGAGCTGGATTCCCGTATCCTCGTGGGTCAGCTCACAATAAAGCTTTCCTTTTCTCAAAACCTAGTGCCCTAGTATTGGAGTATTGGCTTCTATGCACATCTGGCAGCGAGCACTTTTGCTTGGTAACAGCGCCAGGTTCTTTTTAACAACCAGCTATTGCGGGGAGCTAATGGAGTGAGGTCTCAGGGAAGGCGTTAATCCAATCACAAGGCATCTGCCCCCATGACCCAAACACCACCCACTAGGCCCTCTCACCTCCCATCACCACCACACTGGGGAGCAAATTTCAGCATGAGGTTTGGTGAAGACAAATTAACCATATGCAGACCACAGGAGGGCCTCTCACATACCATTGCTCATATGTAAAGGGAGGCAGAAGCTGGAGGGAGGTGTCAGATCCACAGTTCTGAGCTGTGGCCTGAGAAACAGGATTTCCGGAAAGAGTTAGAGCTGGAGCCACAGGCCAGGCAAGGTGGCTCACACCTGTAATCCCAGTGCTTTGGGAGGCCAAGTGGGGAGGATCTCATGAGGCCAGGAGTTTTTTTTTTTTTTTTTTGAGGCTGAGTTTCACTCTTGTTGCCCAGGCTGGAGTGCAATGGTGCGATCTCGGCTCACCGCAACCTCCGCCTCCCAGGTTCAAGCAATTCTCCTGCCTCAGCCTCCTGAGTAGCTGGGACTACAGGCATGTGCTACCACGCCCAGCTAATTTTGTATTTTTAGTAGAGATGGGGTTTCTCCATGTTGGTCAAGATGGTCTCGAACTCCCGACCTCAGGTGATCCACCCACCTCGGCCTCCCAAAGTGCAGTGATTACAGGCGTGAGCCACCGTGCCTGGCAGAGGCCAGGAGTTTGAGACCAGGCTGGGTAACATATCAAGACCCCATCTCTACAAACAATTGAAAAATTAGCCAGGCATGCTGGCACAATCCTGTAATCCCAGCTACTCAGGAGGCTGAGGTGGGAGGATCACTTGAACCCAGGAGTTCAAGGTTGCAGTGAGCCAAGGTTGTGCCACTGCATCCCAGCCTGGGCAATAGAGGGAGACCCTGTCTCTCTCTCTAAAAAAAAAAAAAAAAAAAAAAAAAATTGCTGAAGACTTGGCTTCCCTCCCCCATCTCACTGTGCCCCAGGAAAATTCCGTGGCAGTTAGGGGACCTGGCCTGCTGAATGGGTTGGGGCCTTCTCTTGGATCAAGAGTCTCTTATTTGATCGAGGTCTGTTATTAGACTTCCTCATTCTTTCTCAGACCTCAGGCTGCATGGTGGCAGCTGATGAAAATATCCAAAAGATGAGAAGAGACAATTGAGTCTGGTGAGGGAAAGGGGAGACAGAGGGTGAAGTGGTGCTCAAGATGGATGCAGAGTACTCTGGGAATGAGTTCCCCAGGTCAGAAGGAGAAAGAGACCAACATCAGAGACCTGGAAAGGAAAGGAAGAGTGGGGAGGCAGGATGGGGCACAGGTGAGCTGGGACAAGATGGGAGACTGCTGTCCTCCACCCTCTCCCTCAGTAGTAACAGGTCCTTGGGCCAGCGCCAGAACTCTCCGCTGCCCTTTCAATGGAGAATCACACACAGCTTCCGCTGGATGGCCCAGGTGTTGGCCTCTGAGCTCAGCCTGGTTGCCTTTATCCTACTATTGGTCGTGGCCTTCTCCAAGAAATGGCTGGACCTCTCTAGGAGCCTCTTCTACCAGCGCTGGCCCGTGGATGTCAGCAACAGAATCCACACATCAGCCCACGTTATGTCCATGGGGCTCCTGCACTTTTACAAATCCAGGAGCTGTTCTGACTTAGAGAATGGGAAAGGTGAGCCCCTCCACCCCCCATCCCAGCCCAGGCCGCCAGCCTGTCTTGGCCTCTGTATCTGCACCCTGGATGTATTCTTGTTCCCTCTTTCTGGTCATCTTTACTTTTTGGCCTGCAAGATGGTTCCACTGGCACTGAGACCTCCGATGATCGTTTCTCATCCTGTAGCCTGGCTAAATAGATTTGATTGGTGCAATGGAAAATGTCACTGCTTTTGATAAAACCCAGAGCCAAATCTGTGCTTCTAAGAATGCTGTGAGAGAGTTGGGCATGGTGCTGCACACCTGTAGTCTCAGCTATCCAGGAGGCTGAGGTGGGAGGATTGCTTGGGCCCAAGAATTTGAGTCCAGCCTGGGCAATTTAGTGAGACTCCTGTCTCAAAAAAAAAAAAAAAAAAATCAGGCTGGGCACTGCGTCTCACACCTGTAATCCCAGCACTTTGGGAGGCCAAAGCAGGCAGATCACCTAAGGTTGGGAGATCGAGACCATCCTGGCTAACATAGTGAAACCCCGTCTCTACTAAAAATACAAAAAATTAGCCAGGCGTGGTGGCACATGCCCGTAATCCCAGCTACTCTGGAGACTGAGGCAGGAGAATTGCTTGAACCCGGGAGGTGGAGGTTGCGGTGAGCCGAGACCGCACCATTGCACTCCAGCCTGGGCAACAAGAGTAAAACTCTGTCTCAAAAAAAAAAAAAAGTTACGAGGGGCATGGACTCAGCACAAGAGAATCATTCATTAATCGCCTAATTTACCAGGGACAAGAGCCCCAGTGAGATGGGGGTTTCCTTAGTCTTGTGTACCCAGAGCTTTGAGAGGACTCCTTGCAATGTCCCCTCTCAGGCCCTGATCCCACACATTCTCCTTTCCTTCTGCCTCAGGCCTTGCTTTTCTGGATCATTTTCCTTTTTCCACATCTGGCTTCTGTGTTCCTTCTTTCCCTGAATTCTTGCAGCTGCTTCATTCCTCATCCTTGTTTTTTTCTGTTTGTTTCGCTGATTTTTTTAGAGACAAGGTCTCACTCTGTCACCCAGGCTGGAGTACAGTGGTGCAATCATAGCTCACTGCAGCCTCGAACTTCCAGGCTCAAGGGATCCTCCTGCTTTAACTTCCGGAGAAGCTCAGACTACAGGCCGTGGCCACCACACCTGGTTCTTATTGTTGTTAGTCTCTGGTTATGCTGTTCCCTCACCCCTCAGGAATTTGGAGTTCTTTCCCTGCTCCTGGGGAAAACCAGAGCTTTTGACCCTTATTTCCATTTTTTCACTCTCCTTAGCATGAAAAAAATCACACAGCTATTATTTTCTGAAAGTATTATGTCCTTATCATATGAATATGAAAATATTCATATAATGAATTATGAAAGCATTATGAAAATATTATGTCCTTATTATAATAAATTTGGGGAAACAAAAGCTATCCTTTATTGTACACTTACTCCATTTGTTCAATTTAGTCCTTAGTCAATCCTAAGGGATAGGGATAATTATCCCTATTTTAGAGATGAGAAAATTGGGACTCAGAGAGATTAAGTACCTTGCTCAGGGTCATAAAGCTATTTAGATTGAACCAAATGACATGCTAATATTTGACTGCTTTTCACCTACAAAAGGAGAATTTCACATGGATCAACCTAATAATGGCAGGGTTGGAATTGCAACTCAGGTGTGCCTGGCTCTAAAACTCACATAGGCGCCTTGCTCTACGGAGTTACTCAAAGACAGCCAGGCTTTTTATTTTTATTTATTTATTTATTTGAGACAGAGTCTTGCTTTGTTGCCCAGGCTGGAATGCAGTTGCGGTCTCAGGTCACTGCAACCTCTGCCTCCCGGTTTCAAGCGATTATCCTGCCTCAGCCTCCCAAGTAGATGGGATTACAGGCGCCCACCACCATGCCCAGCTAATTTTTGTATTTTTAGTAGAGACGGAGTTTCACCATGTTGGCCAGGCTGGTTTTGAACTCCTGACCTCAGATGATCCGCCTGCCTCGGCCTCCCAAAGTGCCTCGGCTCACGGATTACAGGCGTGAGCCACCGCATCCGGCCAAACATCACTGATTTTTAAAATTTATTTAATTAGGATTAGGTGTGTATAAACAGTGAAAATTCAAAGAATACAAAAGATTGTATACTGAAGTGAGTCTGTTATCTCTTAGTATCCAGTCTCCCTCCCTAGTTTCTCCTGTTTCTTTCCAGAGACACTCTATTCAGAGACAAGCATCTATTTTTATTTTTATTTTGAGACAGTGTCTCACTCCGTCACCCAGGATGGACTGCAGTGGTGTGATTGTAGTTTATTGCACTGCAGCCTCAAACTGCTGGGCCCAAGTGATCCTCCCACCTTGAAGCTCCCAAGTAGCTGGCACCACAGATGCCACCATGCCTGGCTACTTTTTTTTTTTTAATTTGTAGAGACCAGGGTCTCCCTCTGTTGCCCAGGCTGGTCTCCAACTCCTGGGCTCAAGTGATTCTCCTGCCTCCACCTCCCAAAGTGTTGGGATTACCGGTGTGAGCCATTGTGCCCAGTCTATCACCTATCACCATTTTAAATGAACACACAATAACACAATGTATGGGGATAGTATAATTTATTTTACAAATCTCTTCTAAATCAAGGAGCTTATTGGACATTTTTTTTTTTTTTTGAGATGGAGTCTTGCTCTGTTGCCCAGGTTGGTGTGCAGTGGCATGATCTCGGCTCAGTGCAACCCCTGCTTCCTGGGCTCAAGTGATCCTTCCACCTCAGTTTCCCCAGTAGCTGAGACTACAGACAGGTGCCACTACACCTGGCTAATTTTTGTATTTTTAGTAGAGACGGGGTTTTTACCATGTTGGCCAGGCTGGTTTCAAACTCCTGACCTCAAGTGATCCGCCCACCTCAGCCTCTCAAAGTACTGGGATTATAGGCGTGAGCCAGCACACCCAGCCGACATATTAATATCTCTGCAAAGAAGATTCCTGTACTGAGATTTTGCTGCAGATCTCTGATTATTCCTTAACATAAATTCCAAGAAGAAGCATTGTAGGGTCAAAGAATGTAGATTTTCTGGATCTTTTGTACCAGATCATTCACCACAAATGCTGCCCACCAGGAGCGTATGAGAGGACCTCTTTTCTCTACATACTCTCCTATACTAGGTGTTATCAATCTTATTTTGATCTTTGCTAATTTGACAGTTTATATATATGTATGTAGAGATGGGGTTTCACCATGTTGGTCAGGATGGTCTCGATCTCCTGACCTCGTGATCTGCCCACCTCGGCCTCCCAAAGTGCTGGGATTACAGGTGTGAGCCACCGCACCCAGCCAAGTGTGTGTGTGTGTGTGTGTGTGTGTGTGTGTGTCTATATATATATAGACTGCAACCTCAGCTTCCTGGGATCAAGCGATTCTCTTGTCTCAGCTTCCCAGCAGCTGGGATTACAGGCGCATGCCACCATGCCCAGCTAATTTTTATATTTTTAGTAGCGATGGGGTTTCACCATGTTGCCCAGGCTGGTCTCGAACTCCTGATCTCAAGTGACCTGCCCACCTCGGCCTCCCAAAGTGCTAGGATTACAGGGGTGAGCCACTGCACCCGACACCAATTGTATATTTTTAAAGAGACAGGGCCTCCCTATGTTGTCCAGGCTGCTCTCAAACCCTCAGGCTCAAGAGATCCTCCCACCTCAGCTTCCCAAAGTGGTGGGATTACAGGTGCGAGCCACCATGCTCAGCCTCGATGGTTTTTCACAAATCACATTTAATTAGCAATTCTTTGTGTTGAGCTTTATATGTTTATCAGACATTTGTACTCCTTCTTTGGAGAATTGCAGTTTAAGTCCTCTGTACATTTTTTCTGTTGAGGTATTCATTTGCATGTGGTTGAGGTTATCAAACAATATCCATATCAAGGATCTCGGATTGTTTAAGAAGTGAAAGCAATATTTCATTTTTATTTCAAATGTGCATTTCTCTGATTATTAATGGGTCTGTACATTTTCTTTCTGTCTTTTTTGTTTTTTGTTTTTTGCAGGCGGCGTCTCGCTCTGTTGCCCAGGCTGGAGTGCAGTGGCTCACCACAACCTCCGCTTCCCAGGTTCAAGCGATTCTCCTGCCTCAGCCTCCGGAGTAGCTGAGACTACAGGCATGCACCACCATGCCCAGCTAATTTTTGTATTTTTAGTAGAGACGGGGTTTCGCTATGTTGGCCAGGCTGGTCTTGAACTCCTGACCTTGTGATCCACCTGCCTCGGCCTCCCAACGTGCTAGGATTACAGGCGTGAGTCACCGCGCCTGGCGGTACATTTTCTTGTATTTGCTCATTTGATTATGTTTCATCTTTTGTAAATCCTTAGTTGATCTTGTTTGTTTGTCATTTTCCCCAGGCAGTTTTAAGCTGTGGACAATCAGCCCATGTTTAAGGTGGCTAAGTTAAGCTTCAACCTGACCCTGGGGCTGGGCCTCGTCCTCACCATCTGGTTGCACCTGCCCTACCTGCCCGCTGTTCAAAAATTGCCCTTTGTGGGCTTCGGGACCATCTTGAGCTTCTGTGAAGGTGCCTCCTAGCTCTGGAAAGGTCCTTTGTTTTCCTAACCCCCATCTTCCTGGGCACTTCTCCCTCTTCTTTGGGGGTGGTATGAGGGTTTTGTGGGTGGTGGGAGAACAGAACCGAGAATCGAGTTACATCATTTCTTGGTCACAGGAGAGGTAGAAATGCAGGGGTTGACTCCTGGAACCTCAGGGCCAGTCACTCTGTGTGTGGTGATGTGGTTTGTGGCTGTAGCCTAGCAGATGAGGAAGAACCTCCTGTGGGACTCTTGTATGACAATGAGACCCTCTGCCTCCTGTCTCCTAGTCACCTTCATCTTCTCCACCCTCATGCTATTCCCCATTAACATCTGGATCTTCGAGTTGGAAAGGAATGTATCCATCCCCATAGGCTGGAGCTATTTCATTGGTTGGCTGGTGCTTATCCTATACTTCACCTGCGGTGAGTGGCCAGAGGGCCCTGGGGGAAGGAAGCGACATGGGTAGGGTAGGGCAGGGAAAGTGTGGAGGGAAGAGGCTGGCAATCCCCAGGGCTAGATTTTTAGGGTCTTATCTTCCCTTTGGTCTCACCCTACTTGTCACTTAACCTCCCAGTCACAACTTTCCTCTCCCCTGTCCCTGTCCTTTCCCAGCGATCCTTTGCTACTTCAACCATAAAAGTTTCTGGAGTCTGATTCTGAGCCACCCCAGTGGTGCCGTGTCCTGCAGCAGCAGTTTCGGCTCAGTAGAAGAATCTCCAAGGGCACAGACGATCACAGACACCCCCATCACCCAGGAGGGAGTCCTGGATCCTGAGCAGAAGGATACACATGTGTAATCTTTTCTGAACTCCTGGCACCAAGTTCTGTCCATTCATCTGACCCCATCTCCTCATCCTCCCCCAGCCCTTGAATAGGTTGGTCCTCATCATTGCAAGGAATGAGAAAGGGAGGATTTTGCACTCCTCTGCTTTCTCCCTGCCTTGATTGAGCTTGAGTGATGTGGAATAAATTGTCCGTCTCTTCTTTCTCATATCTGGCTGTTGTTGAGGCAAGCTAGAGGAGGAGGGAGAGGAAGGGAGAAAGAACAAGTTTGTTTTCCAGTTCTTCCTGCCCAGGAGCCTTTTGGCACCCGTTAGTGCCTAAACCTGCCCAACCTCTACCAGAACATACTTGTACATGGGCAAACGCCTCTGGAGAGCTAAACCTCTTTTTACTTTGTTACCCCTGACCCAACATTTGCTAGTTAGTGGGTGGAGGAGGTAGAGCTGATTAGGAGACAGATATCACTTGCCAACTTGTTGGCTTAAGCATAGTGAAGGATTCAAAAGCCAAATGGCTCAAAGATAAGAGGCAGGTTAAACAAGGAGCACCACAGCACAAGTGGTCAGCCCAGGTGTGTGTCCTGGGCAGCAGTCCCACCCTCTGTGTCCAGCTCCGATGACAGAGCGCATAGAGCCTGTGCCCTGGAAACCACCACTACCACCATCCCCCCAGGCTGCTATAGCTTTCCACCCAAGCCTCCCACACCCTCCACCATGTAACAGCAGGAATAAAACATGGCAACAAAGGAAAGCATTAGGGTTAGGTCCTAAGACCAAAAGGTAAGTTGCATATTTGGGTTTTAAAGTTAGCTTGGGGAATGCTGGCAATGCCCATCAGGCTTTGGACATGTTGCCCAGAGAGGCCAGCCTCCTAGGAGAGCATCCATAGCTGATCTTGGTCATGTCTATCCCTCCAGATGAAACCACAATACATCCTGCTGATTGGTAGAGCCCAGTGGTCTGTTTTGATAGGGCGCTGATTGGTGCGTTTACAATCCCTGAGCTAGACACAAAGGTTCTCCACGTCCCCACCAGAGCAGCTAGATACAGAGTGTTGATTGGTGCATTCACAAACCCTGAGCTAGACACAGGGTGCTGATCGGTGTGTTTACAAACCTTGAGCTAGATACAGAGTGCCAATTGGTGCATTTACAATCCCTTAGCTAGACATAAAGGTTCTCCAAGTCCCCACCAGACTCAGGAGCCCAGCTGGCTTCACCCAGTGGATCCCACACCGGGGCTGCAAGTGGAGCTGCCTGCCAGTCCCGCGCCGTGCGCCCGCACTCCTCAGCCCTTGGGTGGTCGATGGGACTGGGCGCTGTGGAGCAGGGGGTTGGCGCTCGTCAGGGAGGCTTGGGTCGCACAGGAGCCCACGGAGGGGGTGGGAGGCTCAGGCATGGCGGGCTGCAGGTCCCGAGCACTGCCCCGCGGGAAGGCAGCTAAGCCCCGGCGAGAAATGGAGCTCAGCGCCGGTGGGCTGGCACTGCTGGGGGACTCAGTACACCCTCCGCAGCCGCTGGTCCGGGTGCTAAGCCCCTCATTGCCCGGGGCCTGCAGGGTCGGCCGGCTGCTCCGAGTGCAGGGCCCGCCAAGCCCACGCCCACCCGGAACTCCAGCTGGCCCGCAAGCGCCGCGCGCAGCCCGGGTTCCCGCTCGCGCCTCTCCCTCCACACCTCCCTGCAAGCTGAGGGAGCCGACTCCGGCCTTGGCCAGCCCGGAAAGGGGCTCCCACAGTGCAGCGGTGGGCTGAAGGGCTCCTCAAGTGCCGCCAAAGTGGGAGCCCAGGCAGAGGAGGCGCCGAGAGCAAGGGCTGTGAGGACTGCCAGCACGCTGTCACCTCTCACAGGGACAAATTGTGAGTGGATCAGGTATGTTAAAAATATATGTATTAGGTTGGGCCGCGTGAGGTGGCTCATGCCTGTAATCCCAGCACTTTGGGAAAACTAGGTGGGCGGATCACTTGAGGTCAGGAGTTCGAGACCAGCCTGGCCAACATGGTGAAACTCCGTCTCTACTAAAGATACAAAAATTAGCCGGGTGTGGTGGTGCATGCCTGTAGTCTCAGCTACCTGGGTGGCTGAGGCATGAGAATCGCTTGAACCTGGAAGATGGAGGTTGCAGTGAGCCGTGATCGCGCCACTGCAGATTGAACCATATATGTTGTGTTAGTAGTTAAATGTGGCAATTTTATATGGTTCAACCTAATGTATATGATCGACTTTATTTATTTATTTATTTATTTATTTATTGAGACGGAGTTATGCTCTTGTTGCCCAGGCTAGAGTGCAATGGTACCATCTTGGCTCACCGCAACCTCTGCCTCCCAGGTTCAAGCGATTCTCCTGCCTCAGCCTCCCTAGTAGCTGGGATTACAGGCATGCACCACCATGCCGGCTAATTTTGTATTTTTAGCAGAGACGGGGTTTCTCCATGTTGGTCTGGCTAGTCTTGAATCCTGATCTGCCCGCCTCAGGTGATCGGCCCGCCTCAGCCTCCAAAGTGCTGGGATTACAGGTGTGAGCCACCACGCCCAGCTGACTTCTATTTAATATGAGCCCTGTCTGAGATTCTTGTTCTTACCACACCTGATCAGCAATTGTAGCATTCCTAACCCAGGAAAGATTCCTAACAAAGGAAAGATTCTGAGCAAGGAACATAATACAAGGGCTTGAAAATTAGGCACAACAGATATTCCACAAATCTCTACTCTGTATCCCACTTTAATCCTCTCCCCAGTAGCGAACAAGGATTTACTAGGGGACTTACTGAACTAGTCATCCTGGAGGAAGGGACACCAAATAAAGGAATGTCATGGTCTCTGCCTTAGGTACAAACACACGTATGTATAATGTAATTAGAGAAACTGACTTAGTGATTTTGTAGGGGTCACAAACTCAAATGCATACAGGGGCTAGGTGGGTAACATAAATAAAGGGGGCCACTCTCACAGTCTGTATATAATTTTTCCCTTTTGATAAAGATCTGGTGTATTAGCTATTTATTGCTGGATAACAAATTACCCCACATTTAGTGGCTTAAAATAATAAATATTTATTATCTCACATCATATCTGAAGGCCAGGAATGTAAAAGCAGCTTAGCTGAATAATTTGTCAAAATTATTTAAAAAATTTTAAAAAACTTTTAAAAATTATTTTATCATATACAACATGATGTTTTGAAATAGGTTTACATTGTGGAATGGCTGAGTTGAACTAATTAATGTATGCATTCCCTCACATACTATTTTTTGTGGTGAGAACACTTAAAACCTACTATCTCAACGTTTTTCAAAATGCAATACATTGTTATTGACTATAGTCACCATGTTGTACAATAGGTCTCTTGAACTCATTCCTCCTAATTAAAATCTTATAGTTTTTTTTTTTTTTTTTTTTTTTTTGAGATGGAGTCTCGCTGTCTCCCAGGCTGGAGTGCAGTGGCGCGATCTCGGCTCACTGCAACCTCACGCCATTCTCCTGCCTCAGCCTCCCGAGTAGCTGGGACTACAGGTGCCCACCACCACGCCTGGCTAATTTTTTTGTGTTTTTAGTAGAGACGGGGTTTCACCGTGTTCACCAGGATAGTCTCGATCTCCTGACCTCATGATCCACCTGCCTCGGCCTCCCAAAGTGCTGGGATTACAGGTGTGAGCCACCGCGTCCGGCATTTTTTTTTTTTTTTTGAGACCGAGTTTCACTTTCATTGCCCAGGCTGGAGTGCAATGGTGAGATCTTAGGTCACTGCAATCTCTGCCTCCTGGGTTCAAGCGATTCTCCTGCCTCAGCCTCCCGAGTAGCTGGGATTACAGGTGTGTGCCTCCATGCCCGGCTGATTTTTTGTATTTTTAGTAGAGACGGGGTTTCACCATCTTGGTCAGGCTGGTCTTGAACCTCTGACCTCAGGTGATCCACCCACCTCAGCCTCCCAAAGTGTTGGGATTACAGGCATGAGCCACCACACCCGGCAATCTTATAGTCTTTGACCAATATCTCCTCAGTCACATCCTCCCCCAGCCCCTGGCAAACACCATAATACTCTTTGCTTCTATGTGTTTGACTAAATTAGATTCTACATGTAAGTGAGATCATGCAGTATTTGTCTTTCTGTGCCTGGTTTATTTCACTTAACATAATGCCATCCAGGTTCATCCATCTTGTTGTAAATGACAGGATTTCCTTCTTCTTCTTTTTTTTTTTTTCTGTTGAGACGGAGTTTCTCTCTTGTCGCCCAGGCTGGAGTGCGATGGTGTGATCTTGGCTCACTGCAACCTCGACCTCATGGGTTCCAGCAATTTTTCTGCTTCAGCCTCCCAAGTAGCTGGGACTGCAAGTGCCCACTGCCATGCTTGGCTAATTTTTGTATTTTTAGTAGAGACAGGGTTTCACAATGTTGGCCAGGTTGGTCTTGAACTCCCGACCTCAAGTGATCCACCCGCCTTGGCCTCCCAAAGTGCTGAGATTACAAGCATGAGCCACCACGCCTGGCCTGTGGACATATTTTATTACCATTACATTTTGGTATAAAAAATATCTTACAATAGGAGGGCATAATTAGAAATGGCAACTGGAATTTCATTTTAATTTTGGGAGACAAGTGGGATTGGGATATCCCGGAAAACTGCCTTATGTAACAGGGGAAGGTGCAACTCAGCTCCATGGGTTATTGCTGTGAGGAACATTTGTCATATGGAGCTGCTCAGCATTCATATGGTTTTCCTATTTGGGGAGAATGTCAACATAAGTGGGAAGTGGAGTCGCTTCCAATTATAGAAGGTGCAGGAGGGGAAGACACACCTGGGACCGCTCTCAGGCAGTCAGAGTGCCAACGTATGACTAAGATTATTCACCTGCGGCAGGGCACGGTGGCTCATGCCTGTAATCCCAACACTTTGGGAGGCCGAGGTGGGCGGATCACTTGAGGTTGGAAGTTCGAGACCAGCCTGACCAACATGGAGAAACCCTGTCTCTACTAAAAATACAAAATTAGCCGGGCGTGGTCATGCATGCCTGTAATCCCAGCTACTCGGGAGGCTGAGGCAGGAGAATCACTTGAATCTGGGAGGGGGAGGTTGCAGTGAGCCAAGATTGTGCCGTTGCACTCCAGCCTGGGCAACAAGAGCAAAACTCCATCTCAAAAAAAAAAAGATTGTTCACCTGCGACTTTGTATCCTTTTCATTAAGTGCAAAGAATTAAGGGAATATTGGAATCACTGTAGTCCATGCAGGATCCTGCATCCTGCAGCAGAGGTGACAGGGCCATTGTCTAGGGGGGACAGCACAGGGTTTTTCTCCCAGAAAACTCATGTGGCATGACTAGGGTTGTAGCTCTGGCTGCTTAGCCTCCCTTGGTTCTTACTCCTCTAAGCCTGTTCTTCAGCTTTCTGTAAGTTATTTCATATCCTTCCTTTTCTGCTTAAGTTAACCAGGGTTGATTTCTGTTGTATACAACCAAAAACCTTAAATAGAATATTTGCTAGAGCTTCTGATTTTTTCAAAAGATGCCGCCAATCCAGATGTTTTTATAAATTCTGATCTTTAAATTTTATTACTATAATTTTTTTTTAGAGAGAGACTCTTGCCCTGTCACCCAGGCTGGAGTGCAGTGGCATGATCATGGCTCATTGCAGCCTCAAACTCCTTGGCTTAAGCAATCCTCCTGCCTCAGCCTCCTGAGTAGCTAGGACTACAGGGATGTGCCACCATGCCCGGCTAATTTTTATTTACAAAACGTTTTTTGGGCCAGGTGCGGTGGCCCATGGCTGTAATCCCAGCATTTTGGGAGGCCGAGGCGGGTGGATCACTTGAGGTCAGGAGTTCGAGACCAGCCTGCCTAACATGGCAATACCCTGTCTCTAATAAAAATACAAAAATTAGCTGGTCATGAGGCCGGGCGTGGTGGCTCATGCCTGTAATCCCAGCACTTTGGGAGGCCAAGGTGGGCGGATCACCTGAGGTCGGGAGTTCGAGACCAGCCTGACCAACATGGAGAAACCCCATCTCTACTAAAAATACAAAATTAGCCAGGCGCAGTGGCACATGCCTGTAATCCAAGCTACTAGGGAGGCTGAGGCAGGAGAATCGATTGAACCTGGGAGGTGGAGTTTGCGGTGAGCCGAGATCGCGCCATTGCACTCCAGCCTGGACAACAAGAGTGAAACTCCGTCGCAAAACAAAACAAAACAAAACAAAACAAAAAAAATTAGCTGGGCATGGTGGCGGGTGCCTGTAATTTCAGCTACTCGGGAGGCTGAGGCACAAAAATCACTTGAACCCAGGAGGTGGAGGTTGCAGTGAACCGATATTGTACCACTGCACTCCAGCCTGGGCAACAGAGCAAGACTCTGTCTCAAAAAAAAAAAAAAAAAGTGTTTTTGGAGATGGTGGGGGGGGGATCTCATCCTGTTGCCCAGGCTGGTCTCGAACTCCCAGCATCAAGAGATCCTCCTGCCTCAGCCTCCCCAAGCACTGGGATTACAGCCATGAACCACTGTACCCAGCCAAAAATTTATTTTAATTGAATGTCTTGGTCCATTTGTGCTCTATAACAAAGTACCTGAGATTGGATAATTTATAAAAAACAGAAATTTATTTTTCACAGTTCTAGAATCCGGGAACTTTAAGATCAAGGCACCAGCAGACTCAGTGTCTAGTGAGGGCTTGCTCTCTGTTTCCAAGATGGTGCCTTCTTGTTGTGTTTTCACATGGCGGAAGAGAGGGAAGGGCCAAGCAAGTCTCTGAAGCCTTATTTTAAAAAATTAGGGCCAGGTGTGGTGGCTCACGCTTGTAATCCCAGCACTTTGGGAGGCCGAGGCAGGCAGATCACCTGACGTCAGGAGTTTGAGACCAGCCTGGCCAACATGGTGAAACCCCGTCTCTACTCCAACCCAGGCTGGAGTGCAATGGCGCGATCTTGACTCACCACAACCTCCGCTTTCATGCGCGTCCGTGTGAAGAGACCACCAAATAGGCTTTGTGTGAGCAATAAAGCTGTTTATTTCACCTGGGTGCAGGTGGGCTGAGTCCGAAAAGAGTCAGCAAAGGGTGGTGGATTATCATTAGTTCTTATAGGTTTTGGGATAGGCAGTTAAGAAGTTAAGAGCAATGTTTTGCGGGCAGGGGTGGATCTCACAGAGTACATTCTCAAGGGTGGGGAAAATTACAAAGAACCTTCTTAAGGGTGGGGGAGATTACAAAGTACCTTCTTAAGGGTGGGGGAGATTACAAAGTACATTGATCAGTTAGGGTGGGGCAGGAACAAATCACAATGGTGGAATGTCATCAGTTAAAGCTATTTTTACTTCTTTTGTGGATCTTCAGTTACTTCAGGCCATCTGGATGTATACATGCAAGTCACAGGGGATGCGATGGCTTGGCTTGGGCTCAGAGGCCTGACACCGCCTCCTGGGTTCAAGTGATTCTCCTGCCTCAGCCTCCTGAGTAGCTGGGATTATAGGCATGTGCCACCACGCCCCGCTAATTTTGTATTTTTAGTAGAGACAGGGTTTCTCCATGTTGGTCAGGCTGGTCTCGAACTCCCGACCTCAGGTGATCCGCCCACCTTGGCCTTCCAAAGTGCTGGGATTACAGGCAGGAGCCACCGCACCCAGCCTAGGATTGGGTATTCTTTCTTCCTTACCTATTTGGTGTATTGTGTCAGCTTAGCTAAACTGCAACTATTTTCCAGAAGTCTCTTCCTGCAGTGTTTCAGGTTAGCTTGAGCCACAGAGATATTTGGTAGGAGATTTGGAAGTGGATGTGGAGCATTTAATTACTAGTGTTAATTCCCTGTGCCACAGTAACGACATTCAAGGTGGTGGCTGATCTGTCACCCTGGGTGCTGGAATGAGGAGACATGGAGAGGAGCCCACAGCAGATACTTGATGGATAGGTAGTGCTATGGACTAAACCGTTTCTCCCTGAAATTTGTATGTTGAAGCCTTTACTCCCAATGTGGCTGTATTTGGAGATAGGGCTTTTTAGGAGGTAATTAGGGTTAAATCACGTCATAAGGGTGGGAGCCCTATCCGATAGGATTAGTGGTTCTTTATAAGAGACACCAGAGCTGTTTCTTTCTCTCTGCAAACATGCACTGAAGAAAGGCCGTGTGAGGACATAGCTAGATGGCAGCTGTCTTTGAGCTAGGAAGGAAGCCCTCCCCAAAAACGGAATCAGCCAGAACCTGGATCTTGAATTTCTTGCCTCCAGAATTGTGAGAAAAATAATTCTGTTATTTAAGGCGCCCAGTCTATGGACTTTTGCAATGGCAGCCTGAGCAGACCAAGACACACGGTGTGGGTGAGAATTTAACCTGGTTATTGTAAGCATCTAGGATTTTAGGGTTGCTTATTACCTTAGCATTACTGAGACTGCTGATGGACACAACTTCTTTGGCTAAAGGGAAGATAAAAATAGACTGAAACTAAAATTGTTCTGCTTTACAAAGACAACTCCCGATCCGCAGACCTCAATTTGAATTACAATCAGACAGCAAGGCTTGAAGAGGCTGGCAATATTCCATCAGAGAGAACAATAAATGTATGAAGTCTGAATAATGAAGGAAACATTTACAAATACACTTGACAGAAGAAGAAGGGAGGCAGGGTGGTGGCTCACGCCTGGAAGCCCAGCACTTTCGGAACCCAGGACAGGCAGATTGGTTGAGCTGAGGAATTCGAGATCAGCCTGGGAAACATGGTGAAACCCCGACTCTACAAAAAATACAAAAATTAGCCGGGCACGGTTGCACAGGCCTATAGTCCCAGCTACAAGGGAGACTGAGGTGAGAGGAGTGCCTGAGCCCAGGAGGTCAAAGCTTCAGTGAGCCAAGATCGCACCACTGCACTCCAGCCTGGGTGCCAGAGTAAGACCCTGTCTGAAAACAAACAAACAAACAAAAAAAAAAAAAGAAAAAGAATGTAAAGATTTTAAGATACAGCACAGTTATGCTTTTGATGATCATGTCTTCGTTCCTCAATATAGATTAGAATTTACAGTAGTTCCCTCACTATCTGGTATTTCCTTATTATCAGTAGTTCTCTCATTATCAAGAAATCCAAGATCAAGGTATCTGGTGGTTTTGCTTCGCTTTCCATGGTGTCAATTACCCGTGGTCAACTGGGGTCCAAAATTATTAAGCATGGCCAGGCACAGTGGCTCACACCTATAATCCCAGCACTTTGGGAGGCCCAGGTGGGTGGATCACTTGAGGTCCGGAGTTCAAGATCAGCCTGGCCAACATGGTGAAACCCCGTTTCTACTAAAAATACAAAAATTAGCTGGGTGTGGTGGCGCATGCCTGTAGTCCCAGCTACTCGGGAGGCTGAGGCAGGAGAACCGCTTGAACTGGGGAGGTGGAGGTTGCAGTGAGCCGAGATCGCACCACTGTACTCCAGCCTGGCGACAAAGCAAGACTCTGTCTCACAAAAAAACAAAAACAAACAACATTCTTAGGTTTTATTAGTTTCCTCAAGTGACTGAGTGCTAAGCATATTGATTTTGATTTTCACAGCACTGGAGTAAGTAAACTTTTATCTTGAAAACAGCTTTTTTTTTTTCTTTTAAAAATCTCTATTGTTGTTAGTTCAATAGTTTGTAGTCTCTGGCTGTAGCCAAGATTAGCCAGCCAGCTCTGAAACAGAGACATAGAAATAGGGTAAATAAAAACCAAGTGTTGGGCCGAGCCCAGCCATGGGGCAGGCTGAGGCAGGAGGATTGCTTGTGGCCAGTAGTTCAAGATCAGCCTGGACAACATAGTGAGACACTCAAGTGTCTCAAGAGTATGAAAAGACAAAGCACTCACTGGGACAAAGTATTTGCAAAAGACATATCTGATAAAAGACTGTTTTCCTCAGCAGGCAAAGAATTCTTAAAACTCAACTAACCAATTTAAAAATGTACAAAATATTTAAAAATATGCAAAAGATCTACAGACATCTCGCCAGAGATGATATACATATGGCAAATAACCATATGAAAGGATGTTCAACATCATATGTTCTCAAGGGAATTGCAGATTAAAACAATGAGATACCGCTGCATTTATTTGAATAGTTAAAATCCAAAATACTGACAACACCAAAAGCAAGTGATGATGTGGAATAACAGGAACTCTCATTCATTGTTGGTGGGAAGGCGAAATGGCCAGCAACATTGGAAGACAGTTTGGCAATTTCTTTTCTTTTTTTTTTTTGGGACAGTGTCTCCCTCTGTTGCCCAGGCTGGAGCGCAGTGGCACAATCTTAGCTCACTGCAGTCTCCGTCTCCCACATTCAAGCAATTCTCCCACCTCGGCCTCCAAGTAGCTGGGATTACAGGGGCGTGCCACCATGCCCGGCTAATTTTTTTTTTGCATGTTTAGTAGTAACGGGGTTTCACCATGTTGGCCTGGCTGGTCTTGAACTTCTGACCTCGGCCTCCCAAAGTGTTGGGATAACAGGCACGAGCCACCGTGCCCAGCCTGGTTTGGCAATTTCTTAAAAAACTAAACATACTTTTTTATTTTTTGAGATGGAGTCTCACTCTGTCGCCCAGGCTGGACTGCAGTGGCGCGATCTAGGCTCACTGTAAGCTCCACCTCCCGGGTTCACGCCATTCTCCTGTCTCAGCCTCCACAGTAGCTGGGACTACAGGTGCCCACCACCACACCCGGCTAATTTTTTTGTGTATTTAGTAGAGACAGGGTTTCACTGTGTTAGCCAGGATGGTCTCGATATCCTGACCTCGTGATCCGCCCACCTCAGCCTCCCAAAGTGCTGGGATTACAGGCGTGAGCCACCGCGCCCGGCCAAAACTAAACATACTCTTAAAATACAATCTCGTGATTGTTGTGCTCCTATTTACTCAAATGAACCAAAATCTGATGCCCACACAAAAACCACACACAAATCTTTATAGCAGCTTTATTCATAATTGCCGAAAATTAGGAGCAAGCAAGATATCCTTCAGTAGGTGAATGCATAAACTGTGGTATATCCATACAATGGAATATTATTCAGTGCAAAAAAGAAATGAACTATTCAAGCCACAAAAGACGTGGAGGAAACTTAAATACACATTGTGAAGTATAAGAAGGCAGTCTGAAAAAGGAACATACTATATATAACATTTTGGAAAAGGCAGAACTATAGAGAGTAAAAAGATCAGTGGTTTCCAGGAGTTTGGGGAGTAGGAAGGGAGGGATGAATAGCTAGCTAGAGTACAGGGGATTTTTGGGATAGTGCAACTATTCTGTATGATACTTTAATGGTAGCTACATGTAATTTTACATTTGTCAAAACCCATAGAATGAGCCAGGCATGGTGGCACATGCTGTAGTCTCAGCTACTTGGCAGGCTGAGGTGGAAGGATCACTTAGGCTCAGGAGCTTGAGGCTGAAGTAGACCATGACTGCGCCACTGCACTCCAGCCTGGGCAATAGAGTGAGACCCTGTCTCTAAACAAACAAACAAACACAATAGAATGCATAGCACAAAGAGTGAACCCTAATGTAAACTACAGATTTGCAGAGGCAGGAGAATTGCTTGAACCCGGGAGGTGGAGGTTGCAGTGAGCCGAGATCACACCATTCCACTCCAGCCTGGGCAACAAGAGCGAAACTCCGTCTCAAAAATAAAAATAAAATAAAAATAAAGTCCATTATTAAACAACAAAAAAGCACCCCAAAAACCAAGGGCCAAGAAAGAGGGAATATTATTTTTCTTTTCTTTTTTTTTTTTTGGAGACAGAGTCTCGCTCTGTTGCCCAGGCTGGAGTACAGTGGCGCAATCTCTGCAACCTCTGCCTCCCAGGTTGAAGCGATTCTCGTGCCTCAGCCTACTGAGTAGCTGGGGTTATAGATGCCCGCCACCTCGCCTGGCTAGTTTTTGTATTTTTAGTAGAGACAGGGTTTCAGCATGTTGGCCAGGCTGGTCTTGAACTCCTGACCTCAAGTGATCCACTCGCCTCGGCCTCCCAAAGTGCTGGGATTACAGGCATGAGCCACCACACCTGGCCTAATTTTCTATAATGGAGAAAACACAAGGCTTATGATTTTCTGCTTCCACAAAGCATTTGGCAGAAATAGGCCAGGAATCCCTATTTTGTAGCCAGGGGAAAGGAAGAATTGTTCTCGGTAGGGGACCACTCTCTAGGGTGAAGCCTGGTCAGTGCCATAGAAACTGTCCTTGGTATTTCTGAGAATTCTGGGTCCATGCTTGGTTAGCTGAGAAACTTGTCAGACACCATATTCTAGTGAGTGCCTGGAAGATACCTGTGAACAGAAGGGGAAACGACACAAGGCCTGGGGGCTTTCAGGCAGCTTTTGGGATCTGCTACATAAAATGCCAGGACTTGAAGACAAGTGACTCTCACTCACATGAATACTGCCTTTGCAGGCCAAAGAGCAAACTGCCAAGTTACTGCCCTGTATTTCCATGTTCAAAGCTGTCTCTCCTCTTTGGTGGGACCTTGTCAATTCTTCTTTTTTTGGACGTAATTGTAGAGTTACAGAAAAGTTGCAAGAATAGTACAAAGAATTCCCACTCTTCACCCAGATTCCCCAAATGTTAACATTTTACTGCATTTTTTTTTTTTTTTTGAGACAGAGTCTTGCTCTGTCACCAGGCTGGAGTGCAGTGGCGTGATCTTGGCTCACTGCAACCTCCGCCTCCTGGGTTCAAGCAATTCTCCTGCCTCAGCCTCCTGAGTAGCTGGGATTACAGGCGCGTGCCACCACGCCTGGCTGATTTTTGTATTTTTGTAGAGACGGGGTTTCACCATGTTGGTTAGGCTGGTCTCGAACTTCTGACCTCATGATCTGCCCACCCTGGCCTCCCAAAGTGCTGGGATTACAGGCGTGAGCCACCGCACCCAGGTGCATTGGTTTTATATCTCTCTGTCCCTCTGTCCCTCCCTTCTCTCTCTCTCTCCACACACACACACACACACACACACACACACACTCATTTTCCTGTACTATTTGATAATAAGTCGCCGACATAATGCTCTTTATCTCAAGATATTTCAACATCTATTTCCTAAAAACAAGGACATTCTCTTACATAACCACAGTACAATCCTCAAGACCAGGAAATTAACTTTGATACAATATTATACTCTTCAGACAATATTCACATTTTACCAACTGTCCCAATGATGCTCATTGTAATAAAAGAATATCCTGGATCATGCATCACATTTGGTTCCCAGTGTCTCTAGCCTACTTTAACTGGAATAGCTCCTCAGTCTTTCTTTGTCTTTCTCAACATTGCCGTTTTTTAAAGAGTACAGGGCAATTATTTTGCTGAATGCCCCTCAATCTGGGTTTGTCTCTTGTCTCTTCATAATTAGATTCAAGTAGCGCATCTGTGGTAGAAATGACACAGAAATGTTCTCAGTGCATCCTTTCAGGGCAGCAGTAGTTGTACATGTACTGGGGAGGTTAACTTTGATCACTGGGTTAAGGTGGTGTCTGCCAGGTCTCTGAGCGAGGATCCTGCTGATTATATTTCTCCCTGCAAGAAGTCCTCTAATACAAAGTAGGCAGGATGGAGAATGTTCAGCAGTGATCTGCAAATGGTCCTTGGAAACTTAGCTTGTGTGACTTCTCACTGAGCACTCCTTTACAGACTTACAAGTCTTTACTCTGTGCCTATTTTTCTGCATTTAGCAGTCTCTTTATTTGTTGGTACCACCAAAGGCCAGCATGATGCCTGGTACATACTTAGTGCTTATAAATGTCCAATGAATGAGTGAAACTGACAGGCTAGAGAAGGGGGTAGGTAAGGAGAGCTGGTCCAGGAAAAGCCCAGAATGACAGTGGATTTCAGAGAGGCTCTCTTCCTGATACAGAGGGCCCCTGCACCTACAGATGAAGAAGGGTGGCAGTTTCAGGTGTCTGGACTGGTTCTCTGCACCCCATTCAGGGCAGAAAGGCAGGGTTTCAGGACTGGGAGCCAGCTGTGTTATTACAGGTGGCCTGGGTTCTGTGTTGAGCGAGATCCTAATGGTCCCTACATTTAAGGCAGCCATTTCCAGCATTTTGGCCATTGCATCAGGAGAAAGAGAGGCAAAAACAAGAGGGGATGTCATTCAAAGAACAGTACACTGAATTGTGGGGGTAGAGTGGGGAGGAGGAAAGAGGCAAACATCTGGCCACTGAATGACTCACCAAAGTTAGGAGTGAGCCATCTGTGTGAATCCCAGAGGAAAGGCTCACAAGCACTCATCTGCTACGTACTCACCCTGTAATGTCGCGGGAAATGCATAAAAGTGAAAAGAACTCCTACGCCAAAGTTCCAGGTGTGGAAAAGTTATTCTGAGCAAGGAGCTAGTCAACAGAAAGGATGTAGCAATTCAAATTACATAGAACAATAAGATTTAACAAATTGAGACATGGGGAAGCAAAAAGCAAAATATCAGGACCAAATTTTAAATGGAAAAGGGAAACTCTAACTAGATCCAAACCAAAATGATAATAATAATGATAATAATAATAATGAAGAAAAGTAAACATAAGAAAAATATGATTCTAAAAGGCAAAGTCTCATATTAAAACGGAAAGGCAATTTGCTCAGGAAGCTCACATTTCCTGCCTTCTTTGTTTGCTTGGAAAACACAGTAGAGTCGACCATCTGGGGTAATTAATTCTAGGGTAAAAATGTCAGAACCTGGGTAAACAAAGATTAGCACCATGATAAAAATAAGGAAGAACCAGGAACTAAAAAAGAAACCAAATTCAGTAAGTTCAAAGGGATAGAATTCTGAAGAAAATTCTGAAGATTCCAGGGACAAGCTTGTTTTGCCATCCGTCAACTTTTTGAATGAGAGTCCTGGGATAACTCTTGCTCTTTTATATTTCAAAGTATCTCAGGTTTCAAATCAATTTCTATAAAGCTTCCACAAAACAAATGGAAGGAAGAACTGTAAATCACAAACTAAAAAAAACAAACAAAACAAAAAACCTTTCCCCCTTACAATTCAACAACCCAAAGTCACCAAATTGAAGAAGGGTAAAGTAATTGCAGAGGTAACGGGCTCATGCACTGATTGAACCTAACCTTGGCAAACCATACTTCAATGGTCTGTTGTACTAATGTCCAGAAAGCATGCAAAATAATTTGGAAGCAAGAATGTAAGTCTGAGCTTCTCGGTTGCCTCCCCCACTGCCCTTCCTTCTCAGTGCTAATGACATTCCAATGCTTAGTCTCAAAAAAACCACTGGTAATAGGGATCTCAGAAATATCAGAAGAAAACGTTCCTTCTACCCCTAGAGCTGCAGACAAGCAGATTCTATTCCACAATATAAGGCCAAAGCTAGTTCTGAAAAAGTGGGTAAATAGAGAACATTCACAAAAGCATTCATCTCTAAGTCTCCTATCTTCTCTCCATCTCGGAAGTGGGGACATGTGCCCTGGCAGGAAGCTCAGGCTGGGGTTCTAGAAGAGGTAGGAAGTACAAAAGTAGAAGAGGACAGTCTTCATACTACACAGGGCAGAACTGGAAGAGAACTTTAAAACGAGTTGGTTCAATTGTCTGTCACCTTAGATGAGGAAGCCAAGTTCTGGAAAGAATAAGTGACTCTGGCAGTGCCTAGAGTAGCCGATGGCCTGAGTTTCTTCCTGCCACCCCACACAAAACAAGTGCAACCAGGAAATTCATGTGCCTAGACCTGATGCCTTAATTCCAAAGCTGCAAAGGTAGTTGGGACCATATGATAGTCCAACTTGGATGCCAGGTTTAAGTTGTTATCCTGTGAGTGAGGAACCACTGCAGATTTCTTTTTTTCCCCTGAAGGGCTGTGGTGCAATCGTAGCTCACTGCAGCCTTGACCTCCTGGGCTCAAGAGATCCTTCCACCTCAGCCACCCAAGTAGCTGGGCCTACAGTGTGAGCCACCAAACCTAATACCATGCCTCACTATGTTGCCCAGGCTGGTGTCGAACCCTGTGGCTCAAGCAATCCTCCTGCCTCAGCCTCCAAAGTGCTTGGATTACAGGCACGAGCCACTGCACCTGGCCCAATGGAGATTCTTGAGCAGGGAAGATGGTTATAAGCATTGACCTTGGACTTGACACTTAGGTTTGAACCCTGGGCTAGTTATTACTTTCTGAGCTTTATTTCTTTCTTTATGAGAGGAAAATTAAGTCCTTAATACACCTATTTAAACTCATTTCTTCAGCTTCAACTGACTTTGTAGGATCGTAAGGATTACATAAGAAAATGAATTTAAGGCCAGGCGTGGTGGCTCACGCCTGTAATCCCAGCACTTTGGGAGGCCAAGGTGGGTGGTGGATCACGAGGTCAGGAGATCAAGACCGACCGTCCTGGCTAACATGGTGAAACCCCGTCTCTACTAAAAATACAAAATAGCCGGGCGTGTTGGCGGGTGCCTGTAGTCCCAGCTACTTGGGAGGCTGAGGCGGGAGAATGGCGTGAACCCGGGAGGTGGAGCTTGTAGTGAGCCAAGATTGCGCCACTGCACTCCAGCCTGGGCGACAGAGGAAGATTCCATCTCAAAAAAAAAAAAGAAAATGAATTTAAAGCTCAATACTAATACTGTAGGTAAATTAGTATTCAGTAGTGTTAACTATTATTCCAAGCAGAGCTTTACTTCTGGAAGATTCACTAGGTGGGTTGTCTCCAATCAACAAAGGTAACAAGAGCCTGTCCTGGGGGAATGGAGAGATGGTAACAGATTTAAGACATTTCAGAGTTAGCCTATCAGTTATGTACTGTTGCATAACAAACCACCTCTAAACTCGGTGGCTTGAAACAACAACATTCATTTATTTTGCACATGACTCTGCAATTTGGCCAGGGCTTGTCTCTGTTCTATACAGTATTGAATGGACGATGAACTGGGGGCTGGGGAGTCTCCTTTTAAGATGGCTCACTCACATGGTTGGCAGGTTGGTTCTGTCTGTTGGCTAAGAGCTCAGCCAGGGCCGAGGGCCCAGGGCTTTGGCTCCTCTCAATGTGGGCCTCTCCACAGGCTGCCTGGGCTTCTTCACAACATGGTGACTGTGTTTCAAGAGTAAACCATTCCAAGAGAGTGAGGTGGCATTTTTATAACAGCCTCAGAAGCCACATATTATTACTGTTTTGTACTAGACTGGTCAAGGCAAGAACAAATTTCTGCCGAAGTTCAAGGAGGGGTGATAAAAACTCCATCTCTTGATAGGAAAGTGCAAAGTTCTCGAAGAACATGTGTTACAGATATACTGTTGCATTGACATTTGGAAAATATAATCTGCTACTGGTAGGGATGACATGATTTAGCAAATTGGCTAGGGGCAGTGAGGGAGAATGATACACTGATGACTCTGGGTTGGGTGACCCATGGTGCCATTAATAGAACTAGTGGAATACAGAAGGAAGAATATGTTAGGGGAGATTATTGACTCTGAGAAGCCCATAGTAGTCAGAAGGCAGGAGCCTGGAAGAGGCATAAGTGAGTCTTACACAGAAAAGTCACAGCTAAAACTAAGACTAGAAGAAATGGCCAAGGATGAGAAAGAAAATCATAACAGATTTTTAGAAAACAATTTTTTTTTTGAGAGGGAGTCTCACTCTGTTACCGAGGCTAGAGTGCAGTGGCACGATCTCAGCTCACTGCAACCTCCGCCTCCTAGATTCAAGCAATTCTTGTGCCTCAGCCTCCTGAGTAGCTAGGATTACAGGCACCTGCCACCATGCCTAATTTTTGTATTTTTAGTAGAGATGCGGTTTCGCCATTTTGGCCGGGTTGGTCTCAAACTCCTGACTTCAGGTGATCCGTCCATCTTGGCCTCCAAAGTGCTGGGATTACAGGCATGAGCCACTGCACCTAGCCTATTTTCTACTTTTTAAATGGCATTATTTTTCCATACCAGTATTTATTTTTATGTAGCCAGATGTATTAATATTTTTCTCCAAGATCACAAACATCTTTTTTCATACATACATATATATATCATACATATATATGTCATACATATATATCATACATATATATATCATACATATATATATCATACATATATATATATATATATATATATATATATATTTATTTATTTATTTATTTATTTTTTAGACAGATTCTTGCTCTGTTGCCCAGGCTGGAGTGCAGTAGTGCGATCTTGGTTCACTGCAACCTCTGCCTCCCGAGTTCAAGTGATTCTCCTGCCTCAGCCTCCTGAGTAGCTGGGATTACAGGCGCCTGCCACCACACCCAGCTAATTTTTGTATTTTTAGTAGAGACAGGGTTTTGCCAGGTTGGCCAGGCTGGTCTCGAACTCCTGACCTCAGGTGATCCACCCACCTTGGCCTTCCAAAGTGCTTGGATTACAGGCGTGAGCCACCGCACCCAGCCCCCCAATATTTTTATCATTATTTTTAAATGTTTAATGTTTAGGGGTCAGACTTCATTTTTGTCAAATGGACAGCCAATTGATCCAGCCCCATTAACTGAATAATACAACCCTTCCCACTGATTGAAATGCCACTTCTATCATAAGTTCCTAGAGATACACAGGTCTGTTGCTGGCCATTTTTCTTTTTCTTTTTTCTTTTTTTCTGGAAACAGGGTCTCTGTCACCCAGGCTGCAGTGTGGTGATACGATCATGGCTCACTTTAACTTTGGCCTCCCAGGTTCAAGTGATCCTCCCACTTCAGCCTCCCAAGTAGCTGGGATTACAGGTACATGGCACCATGCCCCGCAGTGGCCTTTCTTCAGCAGTGGGCCACAGAAACGAATATGCATGTGAGTGGCTGAGGGTGGCCACCTGGAGAGTGCCACATGCACTGCGTCTCCTCATTTGCTGCTGTGCAGAAATTGTGGACCCACTGTGGCCACATATGCCGAGTTCTCAAGAGGTGCTAGACATCCAGATTTTTATATGAACTCTCCAGTGTTTAAAGTGTTGGCAATTAATTAAAAAAAAAAAATTTAAAATGCCGGGCACCATGGCTCACGTCTGTAATCTCAGCACTTTGGGAGGCCAAGGTGGGTGGATCACCTGAGGTCAGGAGTTTGAAACCAACCTGGCCAAAATGACAAAACCCCGTCTCTACTAAAAATACAAAAATTAGCCAGGCGTGGTGGCGGGCACCTGTAATCCCAGCTACTCAGGAGGCTGAGGCAGAAGAATCACCTGAACCCGGGAGGTGGAGGTTGTAGTGGGCCGAGATCACGCCATTGCACTCCAGCCTAGGCAACAAGAACGAAACTCTGTTTAGAAAAAAAAAAAATTAAAAACATTATGTGGACAAAATACATTTGCAAGCTGAGACTAGCCTGTGGCACACCGGTTAGTGACCTCTATTCCACATGCTGAAATAATGCAGGCCAGACTGGGTCCAGGAATCCACCTCTAACTCTTTCCCACTGCCAACATTAAGATGCAAAAGAGGAAGAGTGATGTGGCAGCTCCTGGAAACCCAGGCATCTCTGGGAAAGCAAGCAGTGTTATGGCTCATGTGTCACCTTTTACCCACAGGAGTTGATGATGTGGTTCCCGGTATGCCAAGTAACTAGGAGGGAGGAGGTCAGCACTGGGGAGGGGAAGGTAACATCCTCAGTCAAAGTTGGACCTCCCAGACCTGTTAGGCAGAGTTACAAAGAAAGACAATGGGTTGGAAGGAGGATGGAAACTGAGGTGCTGGCCAAGAACATAGCAAGATTTTGGCCCCCCAAAACAAGCTGGAAAGTGATGTCACTTCCTATGTAATAATAATGTGGCTTCCGTGGAAACCTTCCAACTTAACACTGCAGAATCTGAAAAGAAATGGCAATGAGCAGAGGTCTCCCACCCTCACGTGGAGGACAGGGTCCGCAAAGATGAGTCACATTGTAGAACTTCACTATTCAGAGAAAGCCCCTTCACATGCAGAATCTCGCTGGTCTCTCAGGACAATCCTGTGAGGTAGGCAGCACCAGGGGTGTTACTGCCCCTTACAGAAGAGGGAACTGGCATTAGTGATGATCAGAATGGGTCTTAGATAGCTCTGGGATGTGCAGGAAGGACACTTGTATGAAGAATAAAAGACCGGCCGGGCGAGTGGCTCACGCCTGTAATCCCAGCACTTTGGGAGGCCAAGACAGGCGGATCATGAGGTCAGGCATTCGAGACCAGCCTGGCCAACATAGTGAAACCCCATCTCTACTAAAAATACAAAAAATTAGCCGGGCGTGGTTGGCGGGCGCCTGTAATCCCAGCTACTTGGGAGGCTGAGGCAGGAGAATCGCTTTAACCTGGAAGGTGGAGGTTGCAGTGAGCCAAGATTGTGGCCACTGCACTCCAGCCCGGGCGACAGTGCGAGACTCCATCTCAAAAAAAAAATAATAAAATAAAAATAAAAGACTGCAGGCCCTTTCTCCTTCCCCGTGCCCATTTCTGTAGAATCATTTATTCATTAAATTCACTGAACACTTTCCATGGGCTGGGCACTCTTAGGCATTGGGAACATAGGAGTACACAGGTCCTGGGCACTGTCCTCCCCTGTGGCTGGGTCAGTCATCCTTACTCTGAATCATGGCCCAGACTGGCCTTGCCCTACTCCTCTCTAGGTAGAGCAGTGATCTCAGGCCAACTCTTGCATTTTGTTCCAGAAACCTTGATTATTTCCCTGACTATTGGTCACTTCCCGAAATGCACTGAACTGTGCCAGGAATAGGATATGTTTTTAAGTGCTTGAGACACAGACAAGTGGCAGACGCATACCCAAATTCCAACCATACTTTACTTCTGACCTAATTTTAATATATGTTTCATGCAGTTACACAATTATCTGTGCATAATGCTCTGAGAAAAGGGATGGCACATACAGTTTCTCCTGAAGCGGGAAACAGAGCCCAGTTGGTAAGGTGGCCAGTCTCTAGGGCATCTTAGATGAACCTTGTTTCTTCCTATTACTTTTCCTTCATCTACTTTTTTTTTTTCTGAGATAGAGCCTTGCTCTGTCGCCCAGGCTGGAGTGCAGTGGCATGATCTCGGCTCACTGCAACCTCTGCCTCCTAGGTTCAAGGGATCTTCCTACCTCAGGCTCCTGAGTAGCCAGGATTACAGGTGCATGCCACCGTGCCCGGCTAATACTTTGCATTTTTGTAAAGACGGGGTTTCACCATGTTGGCCAGGCGGGTCTCGAACCCCTGACCTCAAGTGATCGGCCGCCTAAGCCTCCAAAGTGCTGGGATTACAGGCATGAGCCACCGTGCCCAGCCTTCCTTCATCTACTTATTTTCCTGTGATGCCTCCATGTTTTAGAGTATGTGTCTGAGGGGCAGGAATATGTATTAGATATATCTAGGGCAGTCCCACCAGCTTTACATTCTTGAGACCTCATCCATCAGTTCTTGTTTTGCAGACATATACTTCTATTGACTACAATGAGAAGTGTGTCTCTTAAAAAGGTAAGTCTGGCCGCGCGTGGTGGCTCACGCCTGTAATCCCAGCACTTTGGGAGGCAGAGGCAGGTGGATCACGAGGTCAGGAGATCGAGACCATCCTGGCTAACATAGTGAAACCCCGTCTCTACTAAAAATACAAAAATTAGCTGGGTTCGTGGGGGTGCGTGCCTGTAGTCCCAGCTACTCAGGAGGCTGAGGCAGGAGAATCGCTTAAACCTGGGAGGCGGAGGCTGCAGTGAGCCCAGATCATGCCACTGCACTCCAGCCTGGGCGACAGAGTGAGATTCTGTCTCCAAAAAAAAAAAAAATTAGCCAGGTGTGGCAGTGCACGCCTGTAGTCCCAGCTACTGGGGAGGCTGAGGCAGGAGAATTGCTTGAACTGGGGAGGCAGAGGCTGCAGTGAGCCCAGATTGTGCCACTGCACTCCAGCCTCAGTGACAGAGCGAGACCCTGTCTCAAAAAAAAAAAAAAAAAACAAGTGAACAAAGGTCTCTGGTTTTCCTAGGCAGAGGACCCTGCGGCCTTCCGCAGTGTTTGTGTCCCTGGGTACTTGAGATTAGGGAGTGGTGATGACTCTTAAGGAGCATGCTGCCTTCAAGCATCTGTTTAACAAAGCACATCTTGCACCGCCCTTAATCCATTGTTTATCTGCTGACCTTCCCTCCACTATTGTCCTGTGACCCTGCCAAATCCCCCTCTGCAAGAAACACCCAAGAATGATCAATTAAAAAAAAAAAAAAAAAGTTAAGAGCAAAAAAAAAAAAAAAAAAGTCCTGGTTGGGTGTGGTGGCGTGTGCCTGTAATCCTAGCACTTTGGGAGGCCAATCCCTTGGGCCCAGGAGTTTGAGACCAGCCTGGGCAATATAAGGAGACCCTATCTCTAAAAAAATGAAAAAAAAAATAAATAAATAAGTTCAAGTTCAGGTCCCTAGTACCTGTGAATGTCACCTTACTTGGAAAGAGTATTCGCTGATCTAATTAAGGTAAGGATCTCGAGATGAGATCATCCTCATTAGAGTGGGCCCTAAATCCAGTGACATGGATTTGGTGTCCAGTGATGTCTTTACAAGAGACAGGAAAGAATACACACAGGTATTCCTGTGTATTTCAAGTCAAGTTGTATATGGTAGTCCTTGCTTAATAAGGGAAAAGTTCGGGTCTGTGTATTTATTCTTAGGGCTGCCATAAAAAATTATGGCCTTCTCAGGGGAGAAGGCCACATGAAGATAGAAGCAGAGACTGGACTTACACTGTCACAAGCCAAGGACTGCCAAGGATTGCCGATGGCCACTAGAGAAAGGAGAAAGGCATGGAATGGATTCTCCCCCAGAGCCTCCAGAAAGAACCTACCTTACTAACACTTTAATTTCAGACTTTGGGCCTCCAGAACTGTGAGACTCAATTTCTGTTAAGTCACCCATGTGGTGGTAATTTTTTTTTTTTTTTTTTGAGACAGAGTCTTGCTTTGTCACCCAGGCCGGAGTGCAGTGGCATGGTCTCGGCTCACTGCAACCTCTGCCTCCTGGGTTCAAGTGATTCTCCTGCCTCAGCCTCCTGGTTAGCTGGGATTACAGGCACACAGCTCCAAGCCTGGCTAATTTCTATATTTTCAGTAGAGACAGGGTTTCATCATGTTGGCCAGGCTAGTCTTGAACTCCTGATCTCAAGTGACCCGCCCACCTTGGCCTACCAAAGTGCTGGGATTACGGGCATGAGCGCTGCGCCCGGCCAGGTTGTGGTAATTTTTTATGGCAGCCCTAAGAATAAATACACAGACCTGAACTTTTGTCTTTTTGAGCAAGGACTGCCATGTACAACTTGACCTGAGAGTGCAGCCTTCAATCTTTTCCTCTGGGGCCTCTGGCAACAGTTCTCAGATGACTATGCTCAGAGAGACACCTGTGACTGTCCACCCAGCAGCCATCTGTTCACCAGCAGAGGAGACCGGAAGTCCCTTGTGAGGTGCTGGGTTCTGAAGCTTCAGGAGTGGGATCCATGTCATCGTCCATATCAGATCTGTCTGCTCCAATCTCAGCCCTTTCTTCCTGCCTGATCCAAAGGCTATTTTCTAGCTGTTCTTCAGCAATTTCTAGCTCTTCTTCCGTTTGTAAAGTAGCCACAGTTTCCCGGGGCAAGTTTGAGGAATATAGCCCAAATTTGGCTTTATAGCCAAACATTGCCTCAAATGGACTTTGCTGCAAGGAAACGTCGAAAGCCTGATTCCTCACCATCTGCATGAATCGGAGGCCTTTGGCCCAGTGACATGAGTGGTTACTCTGCATCCAGGTACTTATCATGTTCTTTACATCACGGCTTGCTCCTTCCAGGGAGCCCTGGCTTTGGCCAGGGTGGTACTTACCAGATACAATCTTTAGGTCTGGCCACAACTCATTGAGCTCATGAACAACCTGGTTTGTGAACTCAACGCCACTGTCAGAGTCTAACACACTGGGTGTACCAAGAATTGTGAAAATATCTAACAAGACACTGACCACCTCATGGGCCTGTTTGGTTCTTAATGGCCGTAAAATAATAAACTTGGTTGAGTGATCCTGGTAGTATAAAATGAACTTGAACTCACCATCGGCACTGGACTGCATGTCAAGTATTTCAACTTGGCATGTGGAGTCTATGTCCTTAAAAGTCATGGGCTTTGGTGCAAGGCCTCTCTTGGGTACTGGGTTCTTCTGGTG